>NC_000001.11:208487617-208639132 GCF_000001405.40 Homo sapiens | reverse complement strand
TCTCCATACCTTCAGATCTCCTTGTGGCTGCAATAGCTCTTCATATGGAACTAGCCATCTACCAAATTATTTCCTTTCTCAACAAACATCACTCACAGCCCTATTATGACTGGAAGTCTTTTTAATAAAACTGTCTGTGAAGATTGCAAAATAAACCTATGGAGCAGCGTCCTCACTACTTCCATCTGTTTTTCCACAAATTTCTCTCCCTTTTCCACAGAGCAGGTTTGTATTTCCAAGAAGGTGTATCTTCAGGAGTTCTAATAAAGAACAGCTGAATGCAGCAATCTTTGCCATCAATACAGCCAACCTTCAAGGAATCACTTTTCACAAATGATCTGACGTGGAGGTACTCCTTTCTTAGAATGTATCTTTCTAGTCAGGGCATTAGGTATTTTTTAATTCAAGTTAGAAGTCAGGACTCATCTTACACTTTCTACTTGAGTCTTTCCTGCAGGTTGTATCCTCTATATTAAGAGTATGCGTAGTTTATCTGTCTTTTAGGCAAATAGCCATCTTATTCCCACCCAAGGTGAGAGTCCATTTTAGTTCAGGAAAAAATAAATTTAAATTTATCGAGAGGGAGATTGTTGTGAGAAGAGAGGCAGAATTCCTTAGCTAGAGGAGAGATTCACAATCCTATGAATTGAGTAGACACAGAAGGCCTGGTCCTGGCTAAACGGAATGCTGGGAGCTCATGCCAGGGAGGGGTGGTGTGCAGAGGGACTGGGTTGGAATCCAGGTGGCTGAATTCATGGGAGCGTGGCAAAATCAGGTCCTGTTCCACTCGGGCTCAATTTCTAAAACCTACATGACTCCTAGGGGGTCTTCTCAAAGTACGGATTCTGATTCAACAGATCTGGGATGGGTCCTGAGCTTCTGCACTTTTCACAAGCTCCCAGATGATGTCCATGTTGCTAGTCCACAGACCACACTTTGAATAGCAAGGGAATAAGGAATCTAACTCTAGAGTTCAAATGTATGTGGGGTGAAGGTTTTGGGTACAATGTATGCTATGTATATTCATTTGGAGTCTAAATCATTCACTGGTGCTCATGGGGGATGACGATGTATGGGATTTCTAGAGTCCAGACTCAGTAAAGGAGCTACAAAGACTTGGGAAAAAGGTCAAATTCCCTAGTGGACATGCTGGGATCAGCTGAGAGAAACTTGATAGAGGACATTGGCTCCACCTACCCAGGAATAAGAGTAGGTTAGCCAGCCCTGAGTCAGGGGAAGAGGAGCACCACAGAACTAAGCCTCATACAGTGGAGGGGCTGAGAGCATGGACTCAGCTGCCAGGGAAACTGGACAGGAATCTTGGCTCCATAATTCTGAGCCTCTGTTTTTTCTTCTGTAAAAACTTACATTATGGGCTTGTTGAAAGCACTAAATAAGATAGTCCATGTGTTCTGGGTTCTGGTCCCTGAAAAACAGACTCTGAGATGATGATCTTTATGGAAGTGGTTTATTACACAGTGCCCCCTGGCAAAATCCATAGGGGAGAAGGGAAGTGGGACATAGAAAGGGAAGGAAGCCAAGCAAGGGTGCAATATGAAGCAAAGTTCTGTGAGTGTAACTTTAGCTCAGTCATGCAAGGAAACACTGGAGAGTAAATCACAAAACTAGGGTTATCCCAAACTAGAAGCAGGGTAGCTGGATTATTTATACCCTCACACGCATCAGTCATTAAGGGATACTCCCTGAGGGATGTAAATTCCTAAGCTCTTGCAGCTGTCTGCATACACAAGAAAAGCTGAAGTTCTGGATCTTGAGGGAAGTCCTCGGACAGAGTTGGGGACTGACTGTCCTGAAAAGAAGCACATCTGAAACTGTATGCACGACTGGTAACTGGCAAAGGATTGAGGGCATGTGAGAGGTGCTCTGAGAGTATCTGCTAAATTATGGAAAGAGTTTTAGCATGATCTGTGCCAATCCTAACCCACTGGTAAAATCTCCCTTTATTATATACAGTGTATACATAAACATTATCTATGAAGACAAAAAAGGACAAGAAGAGCAGGTATCTATCTCATGGCACACTGGACAGTGGGACTAGAAGAAGCAGATTATTCTGGGGGTCGACTTTGCAAATGCAACACATTATTAGGGAAACTGGGATCCAGTTACTGAGTGGCCTAAATGACCAGAAATCCCAAAGATCCACCTATTACTGTTGACAGAGAAGAAAAGTCATGAAAGTTCCTTTCAGTCCTGTGACTGCTGGGCACTGATTCTGCATTCAAGATGTGTTTCTAGATGTGAGTGGCCATACTTTATTGCTTGTGGCTTATGGAATGGATAACCTCCGTGGGCTCCATTTCCTAATCTTTAAGGTAAGAGGTCCTCTAGTTCTAAAATTTTACGAATTGACAAACCGCTAACTACAAGATGAACACTCCATAAATACTAAGCCACATTCTCCACAGTCACACATCCCCAAAGTGAGGTAAATTTCTTTTTCCATAAAAAGGTGCCAGAGATAGTGTATCTTTGTTTCCAGCATCTGTCCTGTGCAGGTGTACACGGTTCTCACCCAACTGGCTTCTAGTAATCCTTGTAGTTGCCTCTTGTATCCATGTGTCATATGCCTCCTGTGACTGATTAGTTAATCTGTCTTTCTCTGTCTCACATACTCTATAAATACACAAAAAGACATATATATGTACACATATGTACATGTATATAATTTTTTGGGCATAAAAAGCAGCCGAAGTATCCTCTTACTCTGATTTTAGAGATTATAACTTTTAGGCTGATTGGGGTGGGATGGGAGGCAAAAAAAATTGCTCAGGCAGGATTCCGATGCTACTAATTACTCACCAAAATATGGATAAGACCATTTTTGTAAGCAATGAATTGGCTCATTTAAAATTCCTTTGTTTTCATTTTTAGAAGAAAGAAAGAGGAAGAAGGAAGAAAGTCAAAAGGATGAAACAACAAAAGGAGCTCCCCACAGAAAGACAGACTCTTTCGCCAGCACATTTAAGAATCTAAATGAGGCCAAGTGCCAAGCAGATAAAGGGACTCTACTTGCTGCACAGTAAATAAAACGGAGGCAGGAGGACACCTGCATCAAACAATACTTTCTGAGGGGATGACAACAAGATTTCAGAGAATTCAGATCCTGACTTTCCTGCCTCACCAGGTAACCTGGCACAGAAGGATATCTAAGAGGGTAAAATAGACTGGAATCAGACCTAGAACAAACTATCCCCTCCCAACACAGTGGGGATGGAGTAGGCATTGTGGAGACGGACCCTGCTGCAGCCAGGTGGATGGCTCCTTGTGGCCAGAGGGCTGACATCAGGAAGCAGGTGGGAGTCCAGGCCATCCGATGGTGCCAGTGAAGGTAGCAAGAAGGCTGTGACGGCTTGTTCCAGACCATAACAGGGGAAGACTCAGGGCAGGCACTAGAAGAGACCCAGACAGACAAGCTGCTCATCAGCAGGGAAGGCAGATGGGGAGGGTAAGAGTAGGAGGGCCTTCATCACATTGATGGAGCAATGTGACATCAGGTGGGCCTGGGAACCAGCACCTCGGTCCTGGATGGCAGTAGAGAGTAGAGAGGAACTGATTGCAGGCAGGTTGTTGAGTAGGAAACTGTAGCAATTTCTTAGGACTGCCATAACGAAGTACCACAAACTGGGTCACTTACAATTACAGAAATGTATCCTCTCACTGTTCTGGAGATTAGAGGTCTGAAATCAAGATACCAGCAAAGTTGGTTCCTTCTGGGTACTCCAAGGGAGAATCTGCTCCATGCTTCTCTGCTGGCTGCTGGTGGTTGCTGACAGTCATTGGTGTCCCTGGGCTTGCAGGTGTATCACCCTAACCTCTGCCTCTGTCATCATGTGATGTTCTCTCTAAGAGCCTCTGCCTCTGTTTTCTCTTCTTATAAAGACATCAGTTGTGGGAACAGGGCCCACCCAAATGCAGTATGACCTTATCTTAGATTAATAAATTACATCTCCAAAGCCCCTGTATTAGTCAGGGTTCTCTAGAGAAATGGAGCCAATAGGAGATTGCATGCACACACACACACACAGGCACACACACACAATTTATTATAAGGAACTGGCTCACACAATTATGAAGGCTGAGAGGTCCCAAGATCTGCAGTTGGCAAGCTAGGAACCCGGGGGTGCTATGTGCAGTTCAGTCTGAGTCTGAAGGCCCGAAATCCAAGAAAGCCGGTGCTATAAGTTTCAGTCCAAAAGCCAGCAGCCTTGAAACCCAAAAAGAGCAGATGTTTCAGTTTGAGTCCAAATGCCAGGAAAGATCAATGTCCCAGCTTCCAGCCAGGCAGGAGGAGTTCCCTCTTACTTGCAGTAGGGTTTGCCTTTTTGTTCTATCCAGGCCTTCAACTGATTAGATTAAGGTCACCTAAATTACAGAGGGCAATCTGCTTTATTTATAAATATATATATGAGGTGATTTATCATAAGAATTAGTTCATGTGATTTTGGAGGCTGAGAAGCCCCACAGTCTGTCATCTGTGAGCTAGAGATCCAGGAAAGCCAGTGATATAATTCTTTTCAAGTTTAACGGCCTGAGAACCAGAGAAGATGATGGTGTAAGTCCCATTCTGGGTCTGAAGGCCCAAGAACCAGAAGCACAGATGTCTGAGGGCAGGAGAAGACAGACATTTCAGCTCTTAAAGATAGAGCAAATTTATCCTTCCTCTGCCTTTGTGTTCTATCTGGGCCCTCAATGTATTAGATGCTGCCCAACTGCATTAGTGAGAGCGCTCTTTTTCACTCAGTCTACCAATTGAAATACTAATCTCTTCCATAAACACACTCCAAACACACCCTGAAATAATGTTTGACCAAATATCTGGTCTATCCCTTAACCCAGTAAAGTTAACACATAAAATTCATCATCACTGTCTCTATTTCCAAATAAGGTCTGAGGTTCTGGGTGAACATTAACATGAAGGAGGCATACTATGTAGCCTGGTATAGTTCCCAAAAGAGATTGCAGCTCCATGGAACAATATAAAAACGTCTGAATAGAGCTACGGCATGAGTTTGTGCTCTGGTCCTGGGAGGAGCCTGAACAAGTCAAATTATAATCATATGATACATTACGGAAAAATTATGGTTCTAGAGCTGATGATGAAAGCCAAGGAGTAGTGACATTAGTCTCATGTTTCAAGAAGTAACCCCGATGGGCAATTCATGTGTTTAGCCTTAACCACATTCCAGCTCCCACTGAAGAGTCCTATTTAAATTAGCATACCTCCTCTTCCTCCTCAAGCTTCTGGTCCAACTGAAGAAAGGTATTTCCCCTTACCACCCCTCCTATCCTCACAAGAATCACTTCTGTACTGAGCTATCTCTTCTAATCTGAGAATGCCAGATTGTAGAAGAATGTGAGAACCACTGTTTTAATGTAATCTCACCTATTGTATCTGAAAAGACAGGGGTTGGGCATTTGGGTACCACTGGAAATGCTGATATATGCTTTCATACCAGACTTGGTTGGAGTTTTGTATTATTTTATAAATTATAGGACACGCCTGAGATTCTGAGAAAGTTTTTACCTTAGGAAAGACATAAATAAAGACTTTGAATCTGTCAAGAAGAGGAATGCAAAAACTTACCTATTCAATAGCTCTGACAAGGCTAGTGGTGTCAGCACCAACCAATAAAGTTGGGAGCAATCACGGAGAAGGACTGACTTATTAGTCTAGGGGTGTGGATGTGGAGATGAAAAGTTGACATGATGTTCTGGGGAGAAGCAGATATAGGCACCAGGAGCAAAGACCTCTGAGAAACCAAACTCACATTGTTCAGACAAATTCAGAAACTCAGATGGCTAAGTTCATTTGTCAAGTGAACACCAATAAATCCAGAGGTCATAGGAGGGACTCAAGAATCTCTGAGAGGCAGGCCACCTTCCATGCAGGGACAGGCAGATCACTGGCCAGAAGACTACCTAGGCTTCATCCAGGGAGTCTTCTTTTTGTCTACTAGATGTGGACTTTCTGGTTAATTCATATACATCCTGAGCACTTACTACTATGCAAAAATCACAATTAAATGATTATTCATTTGTGATTTAATTTTTCTCTAGCCAGCTGGGTGGGCTAATGTTAAAGAAAACAAAATAGAATGAGGAGACAAGAAAAAACAGGGCTTATTTTTAAGATGGCATGTGTAACCTAATTTTAAAAATAAAAATATATAGCCAGGCATGGTGGCTCATGCCTGTAATCCCAGCACTTTGGGAGGCCAAGGCAGGCAGATCGCCTGAGGTCAGGAATTCGAGACCAGCCTGACCAACATGGTGAAACCCCGTCTTTACTGAAAATACAAAATTAGCCTTGTGTGGTGGCTCATGCCTGTAATCCCAGCCACCCGGGAGGCTGAGGCGGGAGAGTTGCTTGAACCTGGGAGGCAGAGGTTGCAATGAGCCAAGATCACATCATTGCACTCCAGCCTGAGCAACAAGAGCAAAACTCCATCTCAAAATATAAATAAATGAAAATAAAATATATATGTATGTATACGTATGTATACGTACATATACAATTGGCTGGATGCAGTGGTGCACACCTGTAATCCCAGCATTTGGGGAGGCTCAGGCAGGCAGATCACTTGAGACCAGGAGTTCGAGACCAGCCTAGCCAACATGGCAAAAAACCCATCTCTACTAAAAATGCAGAAATTAGCCGGGGATGGTGGCGCACACCTGTAGTCCCAGAATTGCTTGAACCTGGGAGGCAGAGGTTGCAGTGAGATGAGATCACATCACTGCACTCCAGCCTGGGTGACAGAGTGAGACTCTGTCTCAAGAAAAAAAAGAAATATATATCAATTCACTCCCTTCCATTTGGACCTCTTTCATTTTCTCATCAGCTCTAGTCTGCCTTTCTTTGAATGTTTTCAGTCCAGTTAGGAGTAGTTACAATGTCAATGTCATGATAATACCTATTAGTTTATAAAACACATATTTATGTTACTTGATCCTTTCAATGGCCCTGTGATGTAAGAATTACTGTTAACCCACTTTACGGAGGAGAAATCAAGTTGTAGCAAGAAGGAAGTCCAGCCAGGACTGGTATCTGAGACTACTGGATTGCAAATTCAATGCTATTTCCACACACCACACACCACCGCAGTGGAGGAGAAGAACCTCGAAAAAGAACTTCTGTCAGCTTTAGAATTGGTGGTGATTATTTTCCACTCTGCCTCAAGGCAGAGCTCAGATAAACCCCTGAGGGCAAAGTTGTTAGGACCAGAAGGGCTCGAACTCAGACTTGCCTCTGCTTCTGAAGGGACCAGGGCAACCGAACTCAGGAAGAGCTCTGTTGCCTTCATCACTTAATTAACTGAGCGTCACACTCCATTTGCTGTTGTCTCCAAGACACTGGCAATTGTGTGGCTTTCTTGGCTTTTCATTCCATGAAAGGCTCTTTCATCCCAGCTCCTCCAGGCCCTGGGGAGCTGGATGGGAAGGGAAGAAAGAGGTGTAATGGGACTCTGTGAACACGGCTCTGTATTGTGCTCCACTGTGATATCCTGCTTTCTATCACTTTCTATTTATGGCAAGGTCCCTGGACAGCTACCTGAATGAAACATATGGAATGTTTTTTAATCCTATCATTACTCACTGAGGTATGGAAGTCACAACTCTGGCACCTTACTGCCTCACTCATTTAAAATGCCTTTTGCTATTTTTTTTTTTAAGTGAGAGAAGAAAAGAGTAGAAAGAGAGCGAACAAACTCAGTCAATGAAGAAACAAAAGTGAGTCCCTGGGGCTAGCGAGAGACATTGCCAACTCTTCGGAGACTTCCAGACACTGACAAAAATGTGGAAGCAACACAACATGCGTCACATACAGGCGCCGAGGAACACACAGGAGCCAAAGCTATAAAAAACTTGCTCTAAAATTTCAAAGAAGCGAAATTCTCTTCTCAAAGGTGTTGAGAACTGGCCCCGGCTGCCTCCCAAGCTTTAGTAAAAGAAGCATGAAATGGCTGTCAGATATGAAATGCCTATAAAAATTTGTTAAACTGCAAAGACAGGAACTGTATCTTTTTAGCTTTTACTCCATAGCATTGAACACAAAAATACTTCTGGGACCTTGAGCAGGGTAGCATGGGAGTGAATTTGATCCAGGCTACACAAGGATTTTGCTGGCTTTCTAAACTATTGGGTAAAGAAAGCAGGTGAGTCTCAGTGTCTTGTGGCACACACCTATGTGAAACCACGATGCCAATGCACCCCACTCTTGGGGGGAAGTTCCCATGACACAAAGCTTGCGTGCCCACACTTCTTCTGTGACTCCCCCTCCCATCTGCTCTTCTCTCTTCACTCACTCTGGCTGCATGGAAAACACAAGAGCAGAAGTAGTACTCCCAGCTTTTACTTCAAACACCTGTTATGATTCATCTCAAGATTACAGACACTTGGACCATCTTCTGATGTGGATGAGAAGACAGGGCTGAGAGGAAGGAATAGAATTGAAACCTAGTTAATGTAGGGCCCCTGGCTTATTTTTTATTCAATTCCAACTGCCATAAGGAAGAAAATGAGTAGACTTTACTCCTTCTATTTTTTTCTTTCCCTTTCAGCCTGTATACCTCCTGTCCCTCAGTCCTCCATACTCCAGGAGTGATACTTGTATTTACACCTGCTGACAGTGGAGTCTTTTGGTGCAAAAGGTCCTTTTGAAAGGGGATATGCAACAGCTTAGCAAGAGTTCAAAACTAAGGATTTTGAAGGAACTGATGACTGTTTTCTAAGGGTCTGAGAATGTTTATGTGTCCTTGATGCTGGTAGAGGGAGTCATCTCCTTTCAGTTGGCCAAGAGTAATAACCAGTCTGCTTAACGGTTCACGAATAAGAAATTGTATGTAATCTCTGTGCTATGAATTATGCACAGACTGTGGACAGAAAAGAGGTCGGCTACTTCCCACTTGACTCACCTCTACTGAGTTCACCTTCACTTCCAACATCCCTGGGTGGCAGCACCCATCACTTCCTCTTCGGTCTTTTGACAAGGAGTTGATCAAGAAAAGAAGTCTGCTAAGAACAAATATCCTTGACTTTGGTGAACTCATATAATTCCCTTCTTTTTCTTTTTTTTTTTTTTGAGACAGAGTCTCACTCTGTCACCCAGGCTGGAGTGCAAAGCTGCAATCACAGCTCACTGCAGCCTCAACCTCCTAGGCTCAAGCAATCCTCCCACCTCAGCTTCCTGAGTAGCTGGGACTACAGGCACACACCACCAACCTTTGCTAATGTTTCTATTTTTGTAGAGACAGGGCTTTGCCATGTTGCTCAAGCTGCTCTCAAACTCATGAGCTCAAGCGATCTGCCTGCCCTGGCCTCTCAAAGTTCTGGGATTACAGGCATGAGCCATCTCTGCTGGCCTCATATAATTCTTAAAATTTCTTTCCTTTGATAACAATTCCTAATCACCTTAACAAATATCTACTTCACAACTCCTGACAGAGACTTCAAATGGCAACTCTCAGTTGTTAGCCAAGGGAAAAATAAAGAAAGTGGAAAAGCAGCCAGTTAAGAATGAAATGGGCAGAGAAAAAGAGAGAAATGAAATATCTTATATGATGACCAGTAAATATCTTTGACAAGCATCTGGAATTGGAGTAACACTCAGCCTTCACCTCAAAAAGTAGTGTTTCTAAATCCTTTGAATAAACATGAGTGGCTATATCTTACTCCTCTGTGAGCCACATTGTCCACAAAAATATAGTAGTCTGACCCCCTCCCATTTCAGCTCTGATAATAAGCTGAGTGTCTCAGCAGCAGCAGGAAGCTGTATACATAGTTCTCTGATGCCCAAGACTGATCAGCTGGTTCAGGCTACATCACTAGCACAAGCACTCTGAACAACATTCATTCATAGTCTCAGGACCCTCAGGAAACCAGGGCCATAGGCCATCACCTATTGGATCAAGTTTGTCATATATTCTCCAGCAGATATAACTCTTTCTTCTACTACTGCTTTTCTCTCTAGACAACATCAGAGTGGAGACAGACAAATGAGGCCTGTTAAATTATCATATCCTTGGAATATTTTGGCACTATATATAATTCCAGGAATCATTTTATCCTCCCTTGCCTCTAGGTAGAACTTTCCCTATGTGGTCTCAAAAAAAAAAAAAAAAAACAAGACCTGTTTATAGTTTTAAACATAAGATAAAGGAGGGAAGAGATTACTACTTGGGGGCATCTAATATGTGCCAAATACTATATTGAACTTTCTCCATGGTCGTTGAGACAGGAATGAGTTTAGAACTGTGGAAACTAAATTCTGAGTGCTAAATTATTTTCCCTGATCCCACAGCTAAAACATTTCAGTGTTTGGAACTTCACTGGTATTGTGTCAAAGTTCACGTACATTACAAAATGCTATGGTCTTTGCCCCTAGGGAGTTCTCAACCTTGCTTGGAAGTCTATGCTGGTGTGTGTTTTACCATCTAAAACTAAAAAGTATCTTACCTATGTCCTCTCCGTTAGTGAGTGAATGCTTCCCACTTCTCGCTCTCCTCTGATTTATCTCCAATACATCTTTTAAAATTAAATGACATTTCAACCTTTAGGGGAAATGCAATCTAATCCCTTTGGGACTATTGCTCCTATTAGCTCATCATTCCAGGCATTGATGAGGATTGCATTAGGGTTAGGACACTGAAGCACAGTGACAAGGGTAAAAGGAGGAAGAGTTCTGCCTCATTGCCAAAAGCAGAATGTTCCCCCGCTGAAAATATCTTTTTATAAATTCAGGTCCAATAAGCTATATTATCTATACCTCACACTGTAATCCACTCCTGTCTCCCAAGAGCTCCCCATTACATATTGAATATTTGAGTGGGGGTTGCTTTAAAGCCTTTCATTATCAAATAGTGTTAGGGGAGCAGTGTGTAATGAGAAAATTGGCATGCATCCCAGAGTGATCTGAGGGGCTGGGATTCAGAATGCTAAGCCACCATTCAAAATGTAAGTAATTAAAATTAATTAAAAATCATTAAACAAACCTTCACTTTTGCAATTTCAAGGTACAACCCAAGTCACCAGAGCTCATAAAAGATGTGTGTGCTGTCGCATCTATGTGAAGTATTTCCATGACCCGAGCATTGACCACAGGACTGTGCTGGAGGAAACTGGATCAAGGTACCAAGGTGAGTCAAAAGCCCTTTATATAAAACATGAATAGAAATGTAAGTACATGCCCATGTGTATGAATCCCAGACTTACATGGCGACAATTGACCCACTCATTCTCTAATCATCCATCAACAGTATTTATTCTGTTACTCTCCAGTGCCCAGCATTCCCTAAGGGCTCTGCCATTTCAGCAGCATACAGAGCATCAGACCTCACCTCAAGTTGCTTATCATTCCAATTTAGATGGGTAGGGAGATGGAAGATAGACAAGAAGCCAAGAATAACAGCATAGAAAGATGCATCATTCAGTCATTCAACACACATTGTAGAGCACCTAGTAAAAGGAAAGCATTAGTGCATGTGGATACAGAGTCCTTGCCTTCAATGACTGCAGCCTGCTAAATACAATCAGTACTAGTTGAGGGATAAAGTGTGCTACACTCATGGATTTAAGAATGAGCATGGTGTGTGTCTAGGGTAGGCTGAGAGTGGAAATGATTACTCCCTAGCAACTCTGTGACAGTAAAATGACATACAAAGATCAAATAAAGGAAAACTTTCAGAACCAGGAAATTAGTCTTCATGATCACTTCCGAGAGGATTGGAATTCAGTATCACAAATTTTTTGGCTGGTCAACGTGGCTCACATCTATAATCCTAGTACTTTGAGAGGCCAAGGCAGGCAGACTGCCTGAGTTACCAGCCTGGCCAAGATGGTGAAACCCTGTCTCTACTAAAAATACAAAAATTAACTGGGCGTGATGGTGTGCACCTGCAATTCCAGCTACTTGGGAGGCTGAGGCATGAAAATCACTTAAGCCTAGGAAGCAGAAGTTGCAGTGAGCCAAGATCATACCGCTGCACTCCAGCCTAGGTAGCAGAGTAAGACTCTGCCTCCAAAAAAAAAAACAAAATTAAATTAAAATAAATATATATATATTTTTAGGCAAACTTGACTTCTGCAGGTTATGCCCTCCGTCTTAGGACTACAAGTAAATGAGAAAATTAATTATATGATTTCTGCGCTGTCTTCATGTTCAAGTGTTATCACTCTGTCTTCCTCATTCCATCATAGACAGATACAGGAGGGTCTCCAGAAACCCTAGAGCTGAATGGAACCCGTCTGGAAAACATACACTGGAAACTAGGCCGAGGATTATCCAAAGGGTGGTTGAAATCAAGGGTTAAAGTTTGGCTCAAGATAAGGAAGAATCTTCTAATAATTAAAACTGACCATCCAAAAGGTAATGGGATGCTCTGTGGTATAGTTAGTGATTTCTGTGTCTTTGAAATAATCAAGTGGTAGCTAGAAGACCACTGTCAGGAATGCAATAAAAGTATTTCCTGCACTAAGAAAGAAAACAAAGATGACATTACCTCAAGTTGCTTTACAACTCTCAGGTTCTTTGAGTCTTTGACATGCTCAAAATTATATTTTGAGAGAGCTTGGCCTATCTCCTGAAACATTCTGCTTCAACTTGAGCATCTCTCTCTCTCTTTTTCCCTGTTCAATTTCTTTATACTTCTGTATTAATATTTTTTGTTTGCTAGGGGTTTCTATCAAAAAGAAAAACTAATATGTAAGAACCATTTGTCTCCTTAAGTAATAGCTCGTCAATTGTTTGAAAGCAGTCATTATTTCCATTCCCCAATCCTTTATTCTCTTCTTCAGAATAAATCTCCCTGGCTTTTTCAACTGAGACTGTAGTTTGATTTCTAGATTTTCCAGATTCTCCAACCTGTACAAAGAACATACTCATCTGGGCCCACATGTCCTCAGTATAATAAATGTGATAACACTTGAACATGAGGCAAATTCAAGAACTGAACCTTAGTTTTGGCCTCTGGATTCTGGAAAATTTGAGGACAAGACTGAATTAAGTGTCAAGAAAAGTTCTGAATGCAGGACTCTCCCCAGAAGCAAAGGCACAAATGCCTGTGCCTCTCACTTTATAATATGTGTTGGGGAGATCTTGCTGTCGTCAGAGTCTTCCTACAAGGCCCTGCAGGGGAGCTGGTGCCTGTGAGCCACTCCTGCCTTGTGAGGAGGGGACTAGAAGATAGGATACCTGGGTACCTGCTTCTTGATGCAAACCTCAAAAGCATATGTATGTGTATATATATATATATATATATATATATATATATTTTTTTTTTTTTTTTGAGATAGAGTCTCACTCTATCACTCAGGCTGGAGTGCAGTGGCACGATTTCAGCTCACCACAACTTCCATCTCCCAGGTTCAAGCCATTCTCCTGCCTCAGCCTCCTGAGTACTGGGATTGCAGGTGCGTGCCACCACACCCGGCTATTTTTTGTATTTTGAGTAGAGACAGGGTTTCACCATGTTGGCCAGGCTGATCTTGAACTCCTGACCTCATGATCCACCTGTCTCGGCCTCCCAGAGTGCTGGGATTACAGGCGTGAGCCACCGTGACTGGCCCTCAAAAGCATTTTTAAGGTGTGTTTGCCTTTTCATGCTCTGTGATCCCCATGCCCTTGGACCACTTCTTCTCCTAAAAGGGAATTCAACTTATTTTAATGCCTTTATGAGCTGAATTTATGATAGTCACTTTATGAGTGAACTTTACATGTCACTGAAAAAAGGATATGTTGAGATTCTAAGCCCCAGTAACTCAAAATGTGACCTCATTTGGAAATAGGGTTGTTACAGGTGTAACTAGTTAAGATGAGATCATAGTGGAGTCGGGTGGGCCCCTAATTCAATACGACTGTTATCCTCTATGAAGACAGCCAGGTGAAGACAGAGACACTGGGAGAATGCTGTGTGAAGACAGAGCATCAGAATAATACATCTACAAGCTGAGGAATGCCAAACATTGCAGGCAACACCAGCAGCTACAAAGCAGCAAGAAAAAAGTCCCTTACAGTTTTCTGAGGGAACATTGCTCTTTGAACACCTTGATTTGGAACTACCAGCCTCCAGAACTATAAGACAACAAATTTCTGTTTTTTTAAGCCACCTAGTTTGTGGTATTTTGTTATGGTAGTACTGGGAAACCAATACAGTAAACCTTCCCTTGATGGCCTTCTTTACATAGAAACAGAATTTCCTCTTTCTTCCAAGGTCATGTCAGAGGGCTGAGGGTGAACAAGACATTGGCAGGTGGTGTATCCTGCTTTGGGTCTCATCTCCTGTGTTACTGCAACAGCATTCTCCCAAATCTTGAGAATACTGGCAGAGAAGAGAGCAGGAATGAGTGTCAGGGGAAGCTGGTACTGTATTAAGCTGGTCTTAATTTGACGAACATAGCCACCTTAATGTTTTGGATTTGAGTCTAGCTATCTGTAAAATGGAGACAATACTCTGGTTCTACTTTCTACCCTTCTTGCAATTACTTCTTATTGGTAATGTGAGGGAATAAAAAAATGACAAAAACTCTGAGCTGCTCAGGCAAGAGTACAAAGGAATCCAACCCAGTCTGGCAGAAGCAGCAGCAGCAGAAGCAGCAGAAAAATAGGACTTCTCTCAGAAAAGGCCAGGAACCAGAGCCAGGCCAGAAGAATGGCCATGGAACACCAGGGAAAGCAGAAAGTGCCCGTGGGTACCATGGATCCAGGGAAGGAAGCCAAGTCCAGACTTCAGCATGTGAGGCCAGCCATGAGAGAGCAGGCATGGTGTGCACTCCAGGTCAGTAAGTCCAGGTTAGCAGATAGCTATACAGCTAGGCATGGGCCTGGTCAAAAGCAAAGACAGGCTACACGAGCGGAACAAATGGAACGAAGTAGAGGGTTTGGAGACAAGCCAACTCCAAGACAGCAACTGGGGTTCTATGAGAGAAAACTGGGTGGAACCACTGCTCCTCAGGCAGAATTGTTTGCCTTCCGCTCATGTTTGTTTTTTAATTTCAATTTTTTTGGGTACATAGTAGGTGCATATATTTATGGGGTATAGGAGATGTTTTGATACAGGCATGCAATGTGAAATAAGCATATCATGGAGAATGGGGTATCCATCCCCTCAAGCATTTATCCTTCAAGTTACAAACAATTCAATTACACTCTAAGCTATTTTAAAAGGTACAACTAAGTGATTATTGACTATTGTCAACCTGTTGTGCTATCAAATAGTAGGTCTTATTCATTCTTTCCAGCTATTGTTTTGTACCCATTAGCCATCCGCACCTCCCTCTGCCACCCTCCCAATACCCTTCCCAGCCTCTCGTAACCATCCTTCTACTCTCTATGTCCATGAGTTCAATTGTTTTGATTTTTAGATACCACAATAGGTGAGAACATGCAATTTTGTCTTTCTGTGCTTGGCTTATTTCTCTTAACATAATGATCTCCAGTTCCATCCATATTGTTGCAAATGACTGGTTCTTATTTTTTTATGGCTGAATAGTACTCCATTGTGTATATGTACCACATTTTATTTATCCATTCTTCCATTGGTGGTCACTTATGTTGCTTCCAAATCTTAGCTATTGTAAATAGTGCTGCAACAAACACAGAAATGCAGATATCTCTTTCATATGCTGATTTCCTTTCTTAGGGGTATATACCAAGAAGTGGGATTGCTGGATCATATGGTAGCTCAATTTTTACTTTTTTGAGGAATGTTCAGACTGTTCTCCATAGTAGTTGTAAAAATCTACATTCCCACCAAAGTATACAAGAGTTACCTTTTCTCCATAGCTTTACCAGCATTCGTTATTGCCCGTCTTTTGATATAAGCCATTTTAACTGGGATGAGATAATGTCTCATTGTAGTTTTGATTTGCATTTCTCTAATGACCAATGATAGTGACCATCTTTTCATATGCCTGTTTGCCATTTGTGTGTCTTCTTTTCAGAAATGCCTATTCAAATATTCTGCTCATTTTTTGATAAAATTTTTAGGTTTTTTTTCCTATAGAGTTGTTTGAGCTCTTTATATATTCTGGTTATTAATATATTTTCTCTCATTCTGTGGATTATCTCTTCACTTTGTTGATTGTATCTTTTGCTGTGCAAAAGCTTTTTAACTTGATGTGACCCCTTTTGTCTATTTTTGCTTTGGTTGCTTGTGCTTGTGGGGTATTGGTTGAGAAATTTTTGCCCAAATCAATGTCCCAGAGATTTTCCCCAATGTTTTCTTGTAGTAGTTTCATAGTTTGAGGCCTTAGATTTTAGTCTCTAATCCATTTTTATTTGATTTTTGTATATGGTGAGAGATGGGGGTCTAGTTTCATTCTTCTGCATATGAATATCCAGTTTTCCCAGCACCATTTATTGAAGAGACTCTTTTACCCAGTTTATATTATTGGCATCTTTGTCAAAAATGAGTTCAGTATAGCTGTGTGGATTTGTTTCTGGGTTCTCTATTCTGTTCCATTTGTCTATGGGTCTGTTTCTATGCCAGTACCAAGCTGTTGTGATTACTATAGCTCTGTAGTATAATTAGAAGTCAGGTAATGTGATTCCTCTTGTTTTATTCTTTTTGCTTAGAATAGCTTTGGAAATCCTGGGTCTTTTGTGGTTCCATATAAATTTTATAATTTTTTTTATTTCTGTGAAGAATGCCATTGGTATTTTGATAGGGATTGCATTGAATCTGTATATTTCTTTGGGTAGTATGAACATTTTAACAATATTGATTCTTCCAATCCATGAACATGGAATATTTTTCCATTTTTTGGTGTCCTCTTCAATTTCATCAGTGTTCTGTAGTTTTCATTATCAAGATCTTTCACTTCTTTGGTTAAGTTAATCCCTATGTATTTAACTTCATGTGTGACTATTGTAGATGGGATTACCTTTTAAATTTCTTTTTCATATTGTTCACTATTAACATATAAATATGCTACTGATTTTTGTATGTTGATTTTGTATTCTGCAACTTCACTGAATTTTTTTATCAGTTCAATAGTTTTTTTGAGGAGTCTTTAAGTTTTTCAAAATATAAGATCATATCATCTGCAAACAAGGATAATCTGACTTTTTTCTCTTTAATTTGGATGCCCTTTATATCTTTCTCTTGCCTGATTGCCTTAGCTAGAACTTCCAGTACTGTTTTGAATAACAGTGGTGACAGTGGGAACCCATGCTGTGTTCCAGATCTTAGAGAAAAGGCTTTCATTTTTTTCCTATTCAGTATGATATTAACTGTGGGTCTGTCATACATGGCTGTTAGTATGTTTGGGTATGCTCCTCCTACACCCAGTTTTTTGAGGGTTTTTATTATGAGGGATGTTAAATTTTATCAAATGCTTTTTCAGCATCAGTTAAAATGATCATACATTTTTTATCCTTCACGTTGTTGATGTGATGTAGCACATTGATTGATTCGCATATGTTGAACCATCCTTGTATTCCAGAGAAAATCCCAATTGGTCATAATGAATGATCTTTCTAATGTATTGTTGAATTCAGTTTGCTAGTTTTTTTTTTTTTTTAATGGAGTCTTGCTGTGTCACCTAGGCTAGAGTGCAGTGGCGTGATCTCGGCTCACTGCAAGCTCCACCTCCCGGGTTCATGCCATTCTCCTGCCTCAGCCTCCTGAGTAGCTGGGACTACAGGCACCTGCCACCATGCCCAGCTAATTTTTTGTATTTTTAGTAGAGACGGGGTTTCACAGTGTTAGCCAGGATGGTCTCGATCTCCTGACCTACCTCGTGATCCACCCATCTTGGCCTCCCAAAGTGAGTTTGCTAGTATTTTGTTGAGATTTTTGCATTGATATTCATCAGAGATATTGGTCTGTGGTTTTCTTTTTTTGATGTGTGTTTGTCTGATTTTGGTATTAGGATAATACTGGCTTTGCAAAATGAGTTTAGAAGTAGTGTCCCCCTATTCTATTTTTCAGAATAGTTTGAGTAGTATTGGTATTAGTTCTTTAAATGTTTGTTAGAATTCAGCATTGAAGCTATCAGGTCCTGGCTATTCTCTATTGGGAGACTTTATTACAGCTTCAATCTTGTTACATGTTATTGATCTGTTCAAGTTTTGGATTTTTTCCTGGTTTAATCTTGGTAGGTTCTATATATCTAGGAATTTGTCTATTTCTTCTAGATTTTCCAACTTATTGGCATATAGTTGCTCATAGTAGCCATTAACGATCCTCTGAATTTCTGCAGCATCAATTGTAATGCCTCCTTTTTCATTTCTGATTTTATTTATTTGGATCTTCTTTCTTTTTTTTTCTAGTCTGGCTTAAAGATTTGTCAATTTTGTTAAACTTTTCAAAAAAAACACAACTTTTTGTTTCATTGATCTTTTGTATTTTTTCTCATTTCAATGTAACTTATTTCTGCTCTGATCTTTATTATTTATTTTATTCTACTACTTTTGGGTTAGGTTTGCTTTTGCTTTTCTAGTTCTTTAAGATGTATTGTTATATTGTTCATTTGAAGTGTTTCCTTTTTGTTGATATAGGTACTTATAGCTATAAACTTCCCTCTTAGTTTGCTGTATCCCATTGGTTTTGGTATGTTGTGTTTCCATTATAATTTGTTTCAAGAAATTTTTCAATTTTCTTCCTAATTTCTTCATTGATTCACTGGTTATTTAGGAACATATTGTTTAATTTTCATGTATTTTTATAGTTTCCAAAACTCCTCTCATTACTAATTTCTACTTTTATTCCATGTGGTCAGAGAAGATGCCCTAATCATCTGAATGTTTTAAAACTTGTTTTGTGACCTAATATATGGCTTATCTTTGATAATGTTCCATATGCTGAGGAAAAGTATATGTATTCTGCAGCTGTTGGATGAAATGTTCTGTAAGTATCTATTAGATACATTTGGTCTATAGTGCAGAATAAGTCTGATATTTCTTGTTGATTTTCTGTCTGGAAGATCTGTCCAATGCAGAAAGTGGAGTGTTGAAACCTTCAGCTATTATTGTATTTGGGCCTAGCTCTCTCTTTAGCTCTAATAATGTTTCCTTTATATATCTGGGTGATCCACTGTTGGGTGCATATATATTTAAAATTGTTATATCTTCTTGCTGAATTTACCCCTTTATCATTATATAGTGACCTTATTTGTCTCTTCTTATAGTTTTTTCTTGAAATCTATTTTGTCTGATATAATATAGTGACTTCTGCTCTTTTTTGGTTTCCATTGGCATGGGGTTTCTTTTTCTATTGCTTTGTTTTAAGCCTTTGTGTGTATTTGTAGGCTGTGTTTCTTGTAGGCAACATATCAATGGGTCTTGTTTTTTTTTTTAAATCTATTCAGCCGGTCTATGTCTTTTGATGGGAGAGTTTAGTCTATTTACATTCAATGTTATTACTGGTAAGTAAGGACATACTCCTGCCATTTTGTTATTTGATTTCTGGTTGTTTTTTGGTCTTCTCTTTCTTCTTTCTTTCCTTTCTATCTTCCTCTAGCAGAGGTGATTTTCTCTGATCATATAAAGTAGTTCCCGGCTTTTTATTTTTTGTGAGTCCATTGTATGTTTTTTGGTCTGAAGTTACCATGAGGCTTGAAAATGCTATCTTATAAATAACCTATTATTTTACCGAATAACAACTTAACATTATTTGCATAAACAAACAAACAAGCAAAAAGAAAACTAATAAAACTCTATGCTTTAACTTTGTCTCCTCACTTTTTAACTTTTGGTTGTTTCCATTTATATCTTATTGTACTGATGATGTCTTGAAAAGTTATTTTAGTTATTATAATTTATTGGTTATTTTTGAGTCTTTTTACTTAGGATGAAAGTAGTTTACACACCACGGTTACAGTGTTATGATATTCTTTGTTTTTCCATTTACTTACTATTACCAGTGAGTTTTGTACCTTCAGGTGATTATTTATTGCTCATTAATGTCTTTTTCTTTCTGATGGAACTACTCCCTTTAGCACGTCTGGTAGGAAAGGTCTGGTATTCATGGAATCCCTCAGGTCTTGTTTGTCTGAGAAAATACTTATTTCTCCTTCATGTTTGAAGGCTATTTCTGCCTGATATACTATTCTAGGGTGAAATATTTTTGTTTTTGTTTTTGTTTTTGTTTTCCTTCAGCACTTTAAATATGTCATGCCACTCTCTCCTGGTTTGTAAAGTTTCCCCTGAAGTTTGCTGCCAGACATATTGGACCTCCATTTTATGTTATTTGTTTCTTTTCTCTGGCTGCTCTTAGGATCCTTTATTTATCCTTGACTTTTGGGAGTTTGATTATTAAATGCCTTGAGGTAGACTTTTTTGGGTTAAATCTGCTTGGTGTTCTATAACCTTCTTGTACTAGCATATTGATATCTTTCTCTAGGTTTGGGAAGTTCTCTGGTCTTGTTCCTTTGAAAAAACATTCTACCCATATCTCTTTCTCAACCACTTCTTTAAGACCAAAAAGTCTTAGATTTGCCCTTGAGATTATTTTCTAGATCCTGTAGGCAAGCTGCATTGTTTTTTATTTTTTTAATTTTGTCTCCTCTTACTCTGTATTTTCAAATAGGCTGTTTTCACGCTCTCTAATTCTTTCTTCTGCTTGATAAATTCTGCTATTAAAGGAAAATCTGATGCATTCTTCAGTATGCCAACTGAATTTTTCAGTTCCAGAATTTCTGCTTGATTCTTTAATTATTTCAATCTCTTTGTTACATTTATGTGATAGAATTCTGAACTCCTTCTCTGTGTGATCTTGAGTTTCTTTGAGTTACTTCAATGCAGCTATTTTGAATTCTCTATTTGAAAGGTCACATATCTCTGTTTCTCCAGTATTGGTCCCTGGTGCCTTATTTAGTTCATTTGGTAAGGTCATGTTTTCCTGGACGGTGTTGACGCTAGTAGATGTTCTTTGGTGTCTGGGCATTGAAGAGTTAGGTGTTTATTGTAGTCTTCACTGTCTGGGCTTATTTGTAGCCATCCTTATTGGGAAGGCTTTCCAGATATTTGAAAAGACTTGGGTGTTGTGATCTAAGCTGTATCTGCTTTAGGAGACACCCCAGGCCCAATAATGCTGTGATTCTTGCAGACTCATAGAGGTACTGACTTGATGGTCTTGGACAAGATCTGGGAGAATTCTCTGGATTACCGGGCAGAGACTCTTGTTCTCTTTCCTTACTTTCTCCCAAACAAATGAAATCGTTCTCTCTGTTCTGAGCCACATAAAGCTGGGGGTGGAGTGACACAAGCACCACCAGCAATACAACTGGGCTGGGTCAGACCTGAATCCAACACAGCTCTGGGGCTCGCCCAAGGCCTGCTGTAACCATTCCCTGGCTACTGCCTATGTTCTCTAAAGGCCCTGGGGCTCTGCGATCATCAGGTGGTAAAGCCAACCAGGCCTGTATTCTTCTTTTCAGGATAGTGAGGTCCCCCAGGCCCCAGGTGGGTCCAGAGGTGCTATCCAAGAGTCAGGGACTAGAGTCAAAGACCTTAGAGGTCTATCTGGTGTTACTGTATTACAGCTGTGCTGGCACTCAAACCATAAGACACAGTCCTTCCCACTCTTCCCTCCCCTTTCTAAGGGCAAAGGAGCCTCTCCCTGTAGCCACCACCACCCCAGGCCACAAGGAGTACTGCTGGACTACCACCCATGTTTCCTTAAGGTCCAGGGGCACTTCAGTCAGCTCATGGTGAATGCTGCCTGGCCTGGAACTCACCCTCTAGGACAGTGGGCTCCCTGCTGGCTTCAGTCAGGTCCAGAAATGCTGTCCAAGAGTCAAGTCTTAGAATCAGGAATCCCAAGAGCCTGTTTGATGCTTTGCCCCTCTGTGGCTGTGCTGGTATCTAAGGTGCAGGACAAAGTCCCCTTTACTTCTGCCTCTGCTTTTCTCAAGCAGGAGGAGTTTTGCCCCATAGTCATTACAGCTGGGAATGGGCTGAGTTTCACTTGAAGCCAGCAAGTCTCAGAGGCTGACCCAAGGCCCTTGATGTAGTACCTGGGTATTGCTGCTCGTTATTTAGGGCCCTAGGGCTCTTCAGTTAGCAGGTGATGCATGCTCCCAGGACTTGGTCCTTTCTTTCAAGGGAGTGGGTTCCCTTCTGGCCCAGGGTGTGTTAAGAAATGTTGTCTAGGAGCTAGGGCCTGGAATGGGGGCCTCACAACTTTGACTGGTGTCCAATCCTGTTGTGGATGAGCTGGTATCCAAGATGCAAGACAAAGTCCTATCCACTTTTCCCTCTCCTCTCCTCAAGTGGAAGAAGGGGGTCTCTTTTGGAGCCACGAACTGTGGAGCCTGGGGTTAGGGGAAGGGTGATGCCAGCACTCCCTTGGCTGCCCCAGCTGGTGCCTTAGTAGGTTGCATCCACGCCACCTCCCCACCACGCCCACCCCAGTCCACTGCTTCTGGGCCTAATTCAACACTAGGACTAGTCTAAGAATTGCAGTCCTTATGGTTTAGACTGCCTTTCAAGTTTACTTGGAGTCACAGAGCACTGTAGCCCTCTGTGGTGAGATTTGCAGGCACAAGTTCTGACTGCTGGGATCCATGACTGGCTTCTGTTTAGGGCTGGTTTAAATGCACCCTCTGTGGGCAGACATCAGCTGAGTTTGACCCAGTTCTCCTTTCTGCTCTAACAGGACAACACTGAGTTCAATGCCTCAGAATTGCTGGGTTCTCCCTGCCCCAGCACCCAAAGAGGCTCTCTGCACCAGGCCACTGCTGCCAGGGGTGGGAGAGGGGTGGCGTCAGCAACTCAGGACTGTTTCTTTCTACCTCTTCAGTGCCTTTTTCAGCACTTTCTACCTTTCTACCTTTTTCAGCACTAAGAAGTTAAAACCAGGTACTATGAGTGCTCGCCTGTTTATTGGTTCTTATGAAGGTGTTTTTTTTCTGTGTAGATAGCTGTTAACTTGGTGTCCTTGTCTGGGGGAATGATCAGTGAAGCCTTCTCTAACACCATCTTGCTTCACCTCCTATTCTGCCCAGGTTTTAACGAGCCTTCTTGCTGCGGGTTGATGAGGGCCAGAATATCATGCAGATTTTAATTCTAAGAGATTAAGATGTTAAACCCTTCTATTCAGCTAGAGCACAATAAAGAGTAGTTTTTGCAATAGTAATTAGTCTTCCAAGTAAGGCAGGTACTATGGGTCTGGTGGTTGGCACCTGCTTTCCAGCTCCTATAAGAACTGTTTTGTTTGTCTTAGAGTAATAAACACAAACTGCTTTTATAACTTGAAAAAAAACTCAACAAAATCCACTGCAGCTTGAGAACAACCTGAAATTCATTGTCTTTCTATGTTATTTCCTCATTAGAGCTTTGACCTACTCATTTCTAACCCATGAGCTTCAGGTTTTTTAATCTACAAAATAGAGCCATTGCGGTAAATACCAGTCCAACAAGACCTGAGGTTAACACATCTCAGAAGAAGTAAACACCTGCCATGAGCTGCTTCTGTGCACCATTGGTATTGATGAGGGAAGGACTTAATGACCCAGAGTGAGTACAACATATCTGCATGTGGGGCATGATATTCCCCAGAGAGTTCAATAGGAAGCAACAAGCAAGCCAGAGAGAAACTGTAGTATTATACAGTCAGTTGGTAGGAATGTCAAAAGAGGCAATGAAAAAGATTTTCAGGAATGGAGACAAACCTCTGTAGGACCACAGAGAAGCTGAATGCCTTCCCTCTCTAGGGTGTACACATCTTCTTTCATTTATAGCTCACTTGTCAAGATTTTAGATGAAGCAAATTATTTTTCCTCTTTGCTAGTAAAAATCCCATAAATGCTAGCCAAGGTAATTGTTTTAGCAGTCACTCCTGCAACCCAGCTATGCTTAGGGAAATCTACCAATGATACCATTTATTGAGTACCACTGTATGATAAGCCCGCTCCATGTGTTATCTTATATGATCATCCTAATAACCCTCTGGTATAGGGGTTAGCATCTCTATTTTATGTATCAGGTATTTAGCCCCTGTGTGGTTAAGTCACATACGCAAGACCATATGCTTAGTAAACAGGACAACTGGCATTGGAAACCAGGATTGTCCTAATTAAAAGAGAATCAGGGGCCAGGGGCAGTGGCTCATGTCTGTAATCCCATCTATTTGGGAGGCTGAGGCGGGAGGATCACTTGAGGCCAGGAGTTCGAGATCAGCCTGGGCAACAAAGTAAGCATCCATCTCTACTCTCTCCTTTTCCCTCTCCTCTCCTCAAGTGGAGAATAAAGTGGAAATAAATAAATAAAAACAGAATTTAAAAAATTAGCTCAGCCTAGTGGGCATGTACCTTTAGTCCCAGATACTTGAGAGGCTGAGTTGAGAGGATCACTTGAGCCGAAGAGTTCAAGGCTAGGGTTGTGCCACTACATTCCAACCTGGGAGAAAGAATGAGGCCCTGTCTCTTAAGAGAGAGAAGAAATCAATAGTTGTGGATTTGAACCTAGTTATGGAAGAATTGTGAAGTAATTTCAGACAAAAAGTATTTCCTATTGAGAACAAATCAGTTAAGTGAAAGATAGAAGTAAGAAAAATGAACCAACATGTATTGAGTGTTCCCTCTTAACCTGCCTTTCATTCCCACAACATATCAGGCTCGTCTAGCACTCAACATTAGCACTTTCTCTGCTACATTACCTTGCCTCTCAGCAAGAAATGTGTTCTCACTTGTATTATTTTTATTCCTACCCTTTCATCTCCCTCTCCCTCCCTCCATGTCCAGTGAACTTCCCAGAAAGTTGGGCATAACAGTTATAGCAGATAATAATTCTATGTAACATTTATTGATCACTTTCCAGGTACCAGTTTCTGTGTTGAGCTCTTTATGTGGATCTTACAATTTAATCATCAAAATACCCATAAAGATGATGATATTTTATCCCCATCTTCTGGATGAGAATATTGCACCACATTTTTTCTTCTCTCCTCCTTACTTCCCAATTGCATTAAAATATTTTTCTTTGGATTCAGGGATCATGGCCTGGGGAGAAACACAGCTTTTTGTAGAAGTAAAAATGTGAACACAGATACAATTCTTCATTTTCCCCAAACACACCATGCAATGCAAAGATGCTACTTTTTGTCTGCAATGATTCTACCTATTGTTAGTTCACTGCATCCTCAGAGTCAGTGCACAGGCAGGAGAGACTGAGATTATTTAGATTCTCATAGTACAGCATATAATGAGGAAGACAGGCTAGGATGCCATGGGTGCCACATTAGTGCCTTCTTTAAGGTTCTGATATACAAGCAGCCCTGCCCCAGTTGGTTTGTATTTAAAAGAAGATCATTTATTAAGGTGCTGATATACAAACTCTGTCCCACCCGAGTTGGCTTGTGTTTAAAAGAGGATCCTGACAAGTCTACCTAAAGAAGATGAAAGAGATATTGGGGGCAGGGGACAATGGACTAGCTAATGTGCAGAAATAAACTTTACAGCTCTAGGCCAGGGCCACCATAAAACTCTTCCACACTGTGCAGCACACATTATGACGGAAACAACATGCCTTGGCTGGTGGCTTTGCTCCGTGTTCCTCAAGAGAGCTCTGGGTTGCAAACTTGCCTGCTCCCTGGCTGTCTCATCTTTTACATGTGAGGACCACAATTCCTGACCTTTGCAGTGGCTGTAAACTTTGAGACAGGAAGGCAGGATCTGCAGCTTGCCAGGGGCCTCGGAGGACTCTGGTGGCCCATGCAGCTCTATGGGCTTGGAACTTGAGCTCATTGAGGATGTCACCTACAGATAAACAAGTGACACGTCTTGAACACATTGCAAACAACTTTTAAAGGTCATCTCATCCATGCCTCTGTCTCTTCTTTGGAAGACTTCAAAATTATTTCAGAGTGAAAATGTCTCCTGTTTTCAAAAATTGCCAAATATAAATTATATGAATGAGTTTGTTTAAACAACTTAGAGGACCAAAATAAAAAATTTTCTTAAGTCTAATCAGTCGTGCTTCAGGAACATAGGATGTTTCCTCTTGTTCTGCCTTTTGGAATGGTGAAGGGTATTTCACTGACATCTTGAATCATTTAGAGGGACTTAGGATTCAATTTAATACAATAAATATTTACTGAGCTTCTACGTATCTGATACTGAAATGGGGCCGAGAGGGTCACAAAGTTGATGATCTGGGCTTCTTTCTCATCTCAAGAAGCATAATTCCCACATCACTCATGATGCAGAGTGTGGTAAATGCCACATAGTAAGGCCACAAGGAGAGGGTTTGGAGCCATTGATGTTACCTAGAATCAAATAATTCTATGGTGGAGACAAAGATACTCAGGAGAGCACCTGCATCTCATCTGGACCAAAAGGAATGGACACAACTGTCTGGATGAGCTGTGGCACAGGCATTCTGCCAAGAAGAGGAAGCTGGCAGAAGAGGCCTTGGTAAGTCTGAATTCTTGCCTCAGTTCTGGTACTGAGTTCTCCCTGCACATTACATTCCTACTGTGAACCATTCACTCCTCCCTTCCTCCATTAATTTATCTAATTGATATCTATTAAACAAATGCCTACCATGTTCTTGACCCTGAGCCACATGTGAGAGATTCACCAGGCAACAAGACAGATGGGAGGAGCCCCACTGCTATGGTCAAATGTTTGTGTTTTCCCAAAATTCGTATGTTGAAACCTAACTCCCAAAATGATGGTGTTAGAAAGTGGGACCACTGGGAGATGATTAGGTCATGAGGGATTAACATCATTATAGAAGAGACCCCAAAATGTTAGCTGGTCCTTTCACCACATGAAGACACAGCTAGAAGACACCACCTATTAACCAAAAAGTGGGCGTCAGCAGACACCAAATCTGTTGGCACTTTGTTCATGGACTCCCTAGGCTCCAGTACTGTCAGAAATAAATGTCTGTTGTTTATAAGCCACCTAGTTTATGGTATTTTGTTATAGCAAGCCAAATGGACTAAGACACCCCACCCTTGTGAAGGCGACAGAGGACTAGAAATAATGAACAAATCTGCACTGAGCATAACCCATGATGCATAGTACTGCAGAACAGTGCTGTACAGTGCTCTTCAGGGCCTCACAGGAGGTGCAGGTAATAAATGTAACAGTCTGAGATCATGTTAAAATGTTGCTCCATCCCTGCTTCATCCCTTCACTATCTGTCATCGTGTACTATTCAGGGTTTTTTCATAGTAATTATATATATTTAACATTTTATTACATTGTTTATTGCCTGTCTCTGTCATGTGAATAGAAATTCCATAAGGGCAGAATTTTTGTCTCATTCAGCACTCTATTCTCATTGCCTAAAATCATGTCTGGCACATGACAGGAACTCAAATTCCTATCTATCTATCTATCTATCTATCTATCTATCTATCTATCTATCTATCATCTATCTATCTATCTATCTATCTATCTATCTATCTATTTAGCTAGGTAGCTATTTAGCTAGGTAGCTATCTACCTACCTACCTACCTATCAATATAGCTATCCATCCATCCACCTACCTACCTACCTTCCTACCTATTTATAATCTATTTAATTCTTTATTTACTTATGATAGCCTAGAGAAGCTAATGAATTCTTAGAGGCAATTAATTATCTTAAGAGTTCAGAGAAGAAAGAAGTAAACATATGAAAAGATGCTTAATTAACATCATTAGTCATTACAAAACTGCAAATTAAAAGCACAATGAGAAACCACTATACGCCTATTAGAATGGCTAAAATTAAAAAGACTAGCCATACCAAATACTGCAACAAGTGGAACTCTCAAACATTGCTAGTGGAAGTGTAAAATGATACAACCACTTTAATGATACAACCACTTTGGAAAATGTAGTTGTATCATTTTGGTACTTACTTAAAAAGTTAATCATATATTTACCATAAGATCCAGCTATTTAACTTCTAGGCATTTACCCAAGAGAAATGAAAGCATATGTCCACATGCTATGGTGTAAATGTATTCCCCTAAATTCATGTGTTAGAGATGGAGGTGAGAGGATCACTTGAGGCCAGGAGTTCAAGACCAGCCCGGGCAGCATGGCAGGACCTTACTTCTACAAAACAATTTTAAAAGTAGCTGGGCATGATGACACATGCTTGTGGTCCCAGCTACTCAGGAGGATAAGGTGGAAGGATCACTTGAGCACCAGAGTTGGAGGCTGCAGTGAGCTATGAATGTGCCACTGCACCCAAGCCTGGGTGACAGAGTAAGACACTGTCTCTAAAAAGAAGAAACACAGAAACTTAATTTACAATGCAACAGTGTTGGGAGGGGGAGTCTTTTGGGAGGTGTTTAGCTCATGAGTGGTCTGCCTCATGAATAGGTTAATGCCCTTACAAAAGGACTTGACAGAGGAAAGTTAGCCTCTTTTTACTCTTCCTCCTTCTTCCACATGAGGACACAGCGTTCCTCCCTTCCTGAAGACACAGCATTCAAGGTTCCAGCTTGGAAACAGACAGTAGCCTTCACCAGATGCTGGTGTCTTTATCTTGGACTTCTCAGCCTTGAGAACTGTGAGAAATGAATTTCTGTTGTTTATAAATTACCCATTCTCAGGTGTTCTGTAACAGCAGCATAGACTAAGACACGACACTAAGATTTATACATGGATGTTCATAGCAGCCTTGTTTGTAATAATAAAAAACTAGGAACAACCCAAATGTCCATCAGCGGTTATAAACAAACTGTAGCGCATCCATGCAATGGAACACTGCTCAGCAATTAAAAGGAATGCATGACTGTGTGAATGAAGCCAGAACAACAAAAACTGTGCAAACTGTATGACTTCATTTACATAAAATTCTAGGACATGGAAACCAATCAAGAGTGACAGAAAGATCAGTGGTTGCCTAGGGGCTAGTGTCAGGGCTGCAGAGAGGGACAGAGAGGTGCCACAAAAGGAAACTTTTGGAGACAGTGAACATGTTCATCATCTCAATCATGGTGATGGTTTCACAGTTATATATTTATACAAAAAAATTGAATTGTAAATTTTGAATACATGCAGTTTATGTGTGTTATTTATACATCAATTAAAAATGAAAAAAATAAAAGCTACGCTTTTGGCAATTTAAAAATTTCAACGTTGCTCTGTGAATATGCAAGTCCGGCAAGACATTTACGTGTCTTATAGATTAGACTGTAATGATAAGGCATCTACTTCCACCTGGAAGAAGTTTTAAGAAGAATGCTAGTTAATGTGTATTGAGAATTTGTTATGTGTCTACAGGCAGGCTATGTATATACACTATGTGAGTTAGGCCCCAAAACAATTGTGAGGTGGTTCCTATTATTATCTCCATTTTCAGTTGATAAAATTGAGGCTCAGGAAATTTAATAACTTGCCAAAGACCTCAGGACTGCTAACTGGTATAATAAAAATTTGAAAACAGGCTCATTTGATAGTTGAATTGAGCCTCTTAATTTCTATGCTATTGGTAATAGGTACTTAGTTTTTAGAGAAATTTAGAATGGGTTGGAGGGGTTTTGGAAGGAGACAGTTGAGTCTAGTGCTAAGTATTTACTAGGTATTAGTAAAATACTTAGTTCAAATATTAATTTTGCAAATCTAAAGTATAAAGCAATGTGTTGTGATTCTATACTTAGAAATTCTTAAAACTGTCCTCTTATATATTTCAAATTTGACCTCTTTCTTCCATCTCTACCTCTATACAAAAAAATAAATGCCGTCATAACCAGTGCCACCATAACTTCTTGCCTGGATAATTGCTCAGCCTCCGGCTGGTGTTCCTTGCTTATATGTTCCACATAGCAGCCAGGATGATCATCTGAAACCTGAAATAATATCTTATCACTTTCTTTCTGAAAGCCATCTAGTTTTTTTAGGACATTTAAAATAAAATCCAAACTTCTAATCCTAATTTTACTATGTACTTCTTTTGAAAACCCCAAATGACAGTCTCGCTCTGTTGCCCAGGTTGGAATGCAGTGGCTATTCACAGATGCAGTTGAAAAGCACTGCAGCCTTGAACTTCTGGCCTCAAGGGATCCTCCACCTCAGCCTCCCATGAACTGGGACTGTAGGCACACAATACCATGGTGGGCTTCCTACATACTCTTCTCTGATCTTGTCTTCTGCCATGCTCTCCCAGACTCTCTACTCTTAGTGTTACTAACCTTCTTTCTGTTTCCCAAACACATAAAATGAGTTCTGCTATGGTTTGAATGTGTCCTCTCCAAAATCTTGTGTTGCCAATGTAATAATATTAAGAAATGTAACCTTTAAGAGGTGATTAGGCAATGAGGGCTCCTTCCTCATGAATGGGATTAGGTGCTCTTCTAAAAAAAGCTTGAGAGAGGGAGTGCAGTTTGTACCCTTTTCCCTTCTTCCTTCAGCCATGTAAGGACACAGCATCCCCCGCCCCAGCACAGAGACTGCAACATTCAAGGTGCCATCTTGGAAACAGAGGCCAGACCCTCACCAATGAACATGCTGGTGTCTGACCTTAGACTTCCCAGCCTCCAGAACTGGGAGAAACAAATTTCTATTCATTATATATTAACCAGTCTGTAGTATTCTGTTACGGCAGCACAGAATGGACTAAGACAGGTTCCCATCTCATGCCTTTTGTACCTGACATCTTCTCTTCCTGAAATGTTGATCCTTTAGGTTTCTGTATAGTTCACTCTTTCTCATTCTGGGTTCATCCCAATGTCGGATCTTGCATAACTACCCCAAGTAAAGCAGTCCCACCGTTGGCCCTGTAGCTCTGTTTTCTATTACATTACTAAATTTTGTTAATTTTCATAGCACTTACTACTATCTGAAATAGTCTTATATATTTATTTGATTATATCTATCTGTCTCACCTCAATATGTTTTCTGTTCATAGGACAAAAAATGTGTCAGTCTTTCTTTACCACTGTAACCCCAGAGCTTAGAAGAATGCTGGGCACACAATAAGCGCTTAATAACTATTGAGGAACTATACTGACTGCACGAATAATAAGTGGTCTGTGATGAGATGTAATCCCAAACTTTGCCAATAGGTGTTATAGTCCAGCAACCAACAGTTGCAGACATTAATATGCCAACCTGGATGGTTGCTACCACCCATGTGTCAGAGTCTATGTTAATAATTTATTTCTTAATTTTTAAATTAAAAATTCCATATAGTGAATGGCACCACAGGGACAAGCCTTGTAAATATGATGTGACATCCAAATCACAGAATTCCCTCTGATTCAGTAGGCCCAAACTCACCATCTGAACTGCTTTATTTTTAGGGTTGCATGAACTCAGCCTGGCCTCAGGGCTGGGGTAAATATTATCTAGCAACACCTTTCCTTATTTCCCTACATTCTCTCTCTTTAAACATTTCCTCTATAATGATTTGTTTGGGAAATCACCTCAGCCTAAACTCTAGTTGAATATTCACAATTGCTTCTGAGCACCACAAATCATTTGCTTCCTTGGTGCTATTCTGAGGATGGAGCTTCATAGCGCCACTCTTTGGATTACTGAACCTGCCAACTCTCCCTTCTGGTTGCCAAGAATTAGCAGTATCAATAAATACTCAGAAAAGTCTGCCATAAATAAGCCAAGTTCCTACCCATTATAATCAATAAATAAATTATGGTGGTGCCAGGCAGTAGCCCATCTTGTTAGGAGGTCTGTCTACAGTTTTTTTTTAGAGCCCAGGTTTTAGGTGGCTCTTCTTGGTGGTGGGCAAGAAGCACTGGGAAGAAGCCTAGATCAGAAGGTTGATGGGGTCAGAAATAAATGGACTGACCTGTCTCTGAATGATGAAGCATTTCTTTGAAAATCTTTCTTTGTGAGGGCTGTTTCCAAGCTGCACAGAAACAGGAAACAAAAGAATTTTCCTTTTTATTTTCTTAACAAACAAACTATTCCTTGGCTGTCTCTTTGTAGATGGGTGCCGTTGACAACACAGAGAGAAGAGAGAACCTAAACAATGAAACAAGTCCCCTGCCCACGTGCTGTCAGACACTGGAGAAAAGAACAAAACCAAAGAAAAGCCACTGAGCAAACACAATGGCCTTGTCTTCTACCTTTCTTGTGGCACAATGCAGGACTGGACAGCACTGTCCTCCCCATCCCATCTCCTTCCCTCCCTCTACTCTCACCCCCCTCCACCAGCCTTCCTGCTCCCAAAGCACGTTACTGACTAGCAGCTTGCCAGTCCAGATTGTAGTTTTAATCCACCAACTAGTATTGCAGCTCATAGAATGGCTTTGGATTTATGAAACAGGCTGAGGGGAAATAAAGTACCCTAGTTTGTAGATAATAAAAGCTAAGAGTGGTGCATCCAGGGAGAGAGGTGGGGTGCCAGGGGTTCTTAGGAAGGTAGTGGTACCACCTACTGCCAGAGTCTCTTTTGAATTGGCTTTATCCAGGAGTCCCAAAAGCCCTTTAAACTACTTCATGGTAGCCTTTGACAGAGAACTCTTTGGCAGTGACTTGGAGAGGGTTTATGAAGACAGTGCTCAGGCTTTGGTCATGACACAGGCAGATTGGGGATGGAGTGGTACATGTTTGATTACAGTGTGTGTTGAGGGGCAAGGGGGCAGGTCTTGGTACAATGACAACTAGCACGAGACCTTGAACTCAACATGGATTTTAAAAGTGTTTGTTTAATGCATGAATAAAACAATGCTCATGATATTTTGTGGTCTTTAGTGACCAATCATAGTAGACGTCTTAGAATTACCAAGCCCTAAGGAATACTAAAACCCAGTCTAATAAACTCAGTAAAACCAAGAGTGGACTCTAATGTAAACTGTGGACTTTTGGATGTACCTCTCTGGTGGGGAATGTTGATAATGGAGGAGGCTAGGCTTGTGTGGGGGTGGCGAACACATGGAAAATCTCTGTATCTTTTGCTTATTTTTCTGTGAACCTAAAACTGATCTAAAAAAAAGTATATAAAAAATTCATAGCCACATAAATTGGCAGTCAGATCTGGTGATTCAGCTGAACCTTTATCTAAGCATATAGAAAAGAACACATATTTTCTGATGTTTGAAAAAATTGCTGTTTTACCTTGAAACTAATAAAACAAAATTGGCACAACTTATTTTTTAAATGCAGTAAAAATACTTAGTCTGTCCTACAGCCTATATTCATCTACTGTGGACATCATTTCCTCGCCATGAAATTTCCGTGGAATCTATAGGAGGCAAACCTGGGATTAAAGCCTGAATTTGCCATTTAATAATGAGAAAACCTTGGAAAAGTAAGTTAAACTTTTGTGGCCTGTTTTCTCACCCACACGATGGAGATAGTCTACATATTCTCAAAGGGCAGGGGTAATGCCTCTGAGAGCCTGTGGGAAAGTGGTTTGCAAATTACACAGTGATACACAGACACTAGTTGTTATTTTGTTCCATTTGCTCTTTTTGGCTTTTGGACAAATGTTGCCTTTGAGTATAATGAATTTAGTGTTCAGATAAGCTTTCTCCCCTCCCGTGCAGGGTGGCAGGGGTTACATGTGGGTTTCTGGGCTCGATAGAACATTGGAGGGACAGGAGATGGCTGTCCCAGGGCCCCTTCCAGAGCACATTGTAGAGCTGGATCAGTAGGCATAGTTCAGGAGAAGGGCAAGTTTAGGTTTTAGTTGTGACTTTACATTGGTACTTAAAACAAGCATAGTATCAGTTGCTTGATATTCGTGTCTGTGTGTGTGCTTCCTATAAAACTCAAACAAAATACAGTCAAAAAATGGCACTGGCTCACAAACCCGGAACATTATGAAATCAGATAGCAGGTCTAATGAGAACTAGAGTGAATCAAATGAGCAGCATTCCTTTAAGATTGATTTCCATAAAACTTGGGAGGACGAGGGTTTCAGGAAAAGAGAGGCAGGGTAAGCTGGGAGTGGGAAGGAAAAGGAGTTTGGTGGGACCAAAGCAGTGACCATAGCATGTCCAGAGGCATCCTCTAGACGTAGTTATAATGGGCAAAGGCAGCAGATTGGAAGAGGCATTTAGAGGAGAAAGGGCCAGTTTTCTAAACAAGGCAAAAATAAAAATAAAAAATAAAATAAAAATAAAACAAAACACCTTGCAACTTAAGAATCACGAAATAAGTTGATGTATGACTCACACTTGACTTGTGTTTTCCACATGGCTACAGGGAATCAGCACACAGTCAGCTTCACTCAGCAACCCTGAGTTTTGTGTACGCTTATCAAACAAAACTTTTCTCTTTATAAAAAATCCATACTGCGCCTAAACTCAGTCTGGGCCCAGGGCCAGCTGAGCCCATCTTTGTGGCCCAGAATATCCAGGGCCTGTGAGCTCTCCAGGCATCATCTGCAGGACCCAGGCTTCCTGGAGGAAACATGCCCAGCTCTGAGGGTTCTAGTGTTGCCTGTTCTCTTTCTTGCTTCACAAGCTTAGAAATGCACAGTAAAGAAGCATAGAAAAACAGAGTGAAATGTCTGGAAGGGATTTTAGGGATTATTCAGTCCATTGTCTTTAGAGACGAAAAAAAAAAGAAGGCTAGAAAGGAGAAGCAGCATGCTCTGGATAGGGCCACAGTTAGACTTGAACTTGACTCTCAACTTCTAGTCCTGTGAGCTTCAGACAATGAGGAGGGCTGTCACTCTAGTTCTTTCTCAGAGAGCACAAAGTGATTAATTTTCATCTGACTCATTTCACTCAGCAAGCATTTCCTGTGTTCTTCCATCAGGTCTGTCTATCTGGATGACTGTCAGTCCAGCAGAGACATAGAAATGTGCCATAAATAACCGAATGCATCACAAAAACAGAACAGGAGCTACGAGTGTTACTGAAGGCTTGATTTGAGTTCTCACCTGAGAAACGGACACCCCCTAGCCCACTCCCACAGTTCACACTGGTTCTTCTACCTACAAGCCGAGTCTTCACTTTCTTAAAAGGGGACGTGGACATGAATTGACTAGGCCACACATTTATCAATTTGAAGCCATTACTTTGCTTCACAGATGTAGAAGCCCCATTTCTCGACAAAGAAGAGGAAAGAAAGAGGAAAAATGAAGGAATAAATGATAGAAGTAAAGAAAAATGTAAATAAACTTTCTCGTCTACACAGAATAAAAGGATCCAGTCTAGCCAACTAGACAAAAGTTAGTTTCTCAATACTAACATGCCTGGTGCCTCTCTTCTGTTTCCAGCCCTGGAATAATAAGTTTCACTTTTTCATTTCTTCACCCAAAATAAAACTTGAACTGCTCACTTCCTCATCTTTTCATTTGCAGATCTCAAAAGCAGCCTCTTCCACATCTACCCTTGGGGCATGTCTGGCCCACTCCCCTACAGCCTTGAATGTCACAAGAAGTTCTTAAATGTGTTCAGTTGCAAATATATTTTACCACTTTATTTGCAGCTCCCGCACATTCTTGGATCTCAAAAGCCACTTTAGCATCAACTAGGGGCTGTTCTGAGGTCCGGACAGCTGTTGCAAGGTGGTATCATAGGTTCTCAAGCCCTAGCTAAGAGTAACTTAACAGCAAGTAATCATTCCATGATGCTGAATCTCACCTGTTAGGTACATGCCACACTGCCATCCCTGACTTCAGAGTGTGGCTTTCTCTCCTGCATTATTAAGGTAGAAAGACATTATTTGAGATGAACTATAAATGTATATATATAAATTTATCTCTGTGCTTGTTATTTTTTAGCTTCCGAGTTTCTTATCCTCAGCTGTCAACTCCTAACCAACATGGTACTGTCAGCCCTAACCTGAGATGCCAAGCAATATGGCTTTTCCAACTTGGTGATTCCTCATGCCCTGACATCAGTGGTTCTCAGGCCATATACTTTCTCTGCCTAGCTGGATCTCCCTTTCACTTCACATTTCACTAGATCTCACCTTCTCCTTTGTTTGCATCTCACTTCTCCCCAGATCCCCATTGCATTGCATCCATTCATTCATCCATTCATCACTTAGTATTTACTGAGGTCAGACACTGTGAAAGCACTGCAGGGTTTGTACAGAAGCATAAGACACTGTGCCTAGGGTCAAAGAGCCTCCAGTTCAGTAGGAGGAATCAGATAAGCACAGAAGTAATTATGATACTAGGGAAAATGTGACCATTGCCTTCCAAAATGGGCATAAAGTCATATGGGAAGGAGAAGCATGTTGGTTTGGATGAAGGGAGGGGACATTTGAGGTAGTTCTCATACAGTGTGTAAGACTATAGGTAGAGCTGTTAAGAAGATATCTATGCTTGCAGAATGTACAGGAACATAGCCAGTGAAGTAGAAGTGTGGCGTATATGTAGTGACTTCTCAAGCATGCTTCTTCAGGTAGGGTGCTACAGGCTGCAAGTAACACAAAAACCCAACAGACAGTTCCTTCTACCTGGGGTACCATATCGACACATTCACTTTCCCACCAGGAGTTCCCAAAGTGTTCCGTGTATCCCAGCCACATGCAATCATTGCACTTATTTTATTGTTTGCCTCCTCCACTTAACTATGCTCATGTGGACAGCAGGGGCTATTCTACTTCTTCCCTATTGTGTATGCCTAGCACAGCACCTGGCCTACATTAGATGCCCAGTATATATTTGTTGAACTGAATAAATATTTGGTGAGTGAATGAATGGATGAGTAGGGGAAAATGAGGCTAGGGGCTTTAGGTGGAGGAAGTGCCATTTAGATGAGTCCCATAAGGTGCATAGGTAGATTTGTTCCTCTTCTTTCCTTTGCTTCTGTGATCTGAACATTGACAAAACTCCACACTAGATTATGGGGTAGCTCATGCCAGGCAGCTCAGCATTACCTTTAGTAAGCTCAGGCAGCAGGGACAGGCAAGCCATTTCCAGGATGTAATTTGATACGATGTGAATGAGGAGTGAGGAAAGGCTAGAATAGAACGAGAGAGAAAGAGAAATCCCCTTGGAAAAATTGATGAAATATTCTTGGCTACTTATTGGAATCTCTGATATGTTATTCTATATCTTTATCCTCACCCTCACCTTGATAATCCACAGTTTTTAATTCTAGGTGAAAACTCACAGTGAATTGATCATAGCCATGGATTCAGTGAGGTTGAATATCTTTATGTTGGTAAAATCTTCTTTCTCTTGATGCGCCATCATCAAGAATGTACAGCCAATAAAGTCACTTTGAAATGTTTATTAAACTCACATTTCCGTCTTAACTAAATAGACTGCAGCCAGTGGGGCTATAATTATAACACACCGAGCAAAAATGAGGGCCCCAGCTCCTTGAGAAGGGAACATCAGTACCTTCATTTTGAACTGTGTGGTGTGCTCTTATCCCCATGTTCAATCCCAAATTACTTACACCACTAAGTCCGGGGAAAGCAATGACATAAGAAACTCAAAAGAACAGCTTCCCTTCTCTCCTCTTCCGGATTAGCCACTTTCAGTATCCAGGGAGTTAAGGAATGCTATGCATATGTGAGAGCCAAGACTGTGTCCAGAGTAACCTAGCATTGTGTGATGGATAAGAACCCAGGCTCTGTAGCCAGACTGAGCCTGAGTTTAAATCCTGACTCTGCAACTTATGAACTTGCGATGTGGGGCAAATGACTTTCAAAATCTCTTTGAGCCTGCATTTCTTTCTCTGTAATATGAGAGTAATACTAGCACTTACTTCATGGGGCTGTTGTGAGGAGTAGAAGCCATCATGGGTATAGAGCCAAATGAAAGGTGCCTGTTACAGAGTTAGCATTCAATAAATATTATCTTTTATTATTATCATTGGTCTCACTGTCCAGCCCTGCTTCTTTGGCAACAAGAGGGGGTGAAAAAAGAGGCTTCTTGGAGAAAATGAATGCTTTTATTCCACACAGAGCTACAAATATTCAGTCCTCAAAAAATGTCATCCCAGAAAAAGAAAAGGACAAACAAAGCCACCACCAGAGAGTGAAGCTGATTTGTTTTAAAAAGAATCTTAGGATTGGAGAAGAAAACCAAATCTGCTCCATGAAATTGAGCTACAGATAATAAAAGTGTCAGCGGGGGACAGTGGTCAGAATACTGACTCTGTTGAAAAAAATTCATCATAGTTCAGAAAAATATATATTCAGGCACCTTGTCACTGTGCATCTCATCCCTCAGTGTCACCCCAGCAGCGGATCTGCTTTGTTTACTGATAACAAAAAGAGTAAAGAAAAGAACAAAGTTTGTATTATCTCTAAGCTGAGCGCCGTGGGGCCAATATAGCTGTCCATGGAAGGCTGCCCCAGCACCTCGTTCCCAGCCTCCTGCATCATCAGCTGAATCGACAGCTGAGTGCAAACTTCATTGTTCCTTCCAGCCCCTGCGATGAGTTGCAGAGAGAGGAAAAGAGGACTCTTAGTTCAACAGAAGGGCCAAACACTCCCACCAAAGCTTCCCTCCTTCCTGCAATTATGAATGTTCTTGCAGACCCAGCCACAGGGAAGCTGGCAGCCCAGGCAAAGGGGCAAGGTGGTGGCACAGATATAGAGAAGTCCAGAGAACCTGCCCAGGTGAGTGCAGGTTGAGGAGCATGCCCCTGCTCTTTTGTGAGTCACAGCACCTTTGGCAACCCATCAGAGCACTGGTCACCCTGCAGGGGGAGAATGACCTCCTGAGGCATGTATATCTCCTACCCCTGCCTCCCTGTCTAACCTGCTTTGGTACTCATGCAGCCTAGTGCAGTGTCTGGCACATAGCAGGCTCTCCAGGCAGAGTTAATGAACCAACTGAACAGAACTGAAGGACAATAGGTGGGTATGAGGAAAAATGGAGCAGGGGTGTGTTTCCTCTGAATTTTTTTGAGGTGGAAATGCTGCCAATTGACACCTGTGAGGAAGAAGAGAAAGGCAGCTTTTAGTCTTTAGTGTGTATCAGGATCACCTGGGGTGCTTTTGAAAATGCAAATAACTAGTCTCCATTCCATCCCAGGCCCACAGATCACATTCTCCTGAGTATGAGGTCTAGGAATCAGATTTATATTTTTTTAATTGCTTACAAGCCACCCCCAGGTTAAAGTGTTGCATTGAGAACCTGAGGAGTCAGGCATAGATCTACACTTAGCTGCCAAAAGCTCAGTTTCCTCTGGAGTGTCCAATCAGCAGAGAGGTTAGATTTGGAATTAAGCAGAGATAGGACAGATAACAAGATACTTGCAGAAGGACTAAACTATTTTCCTCATGGGTTTTGTTTCACTTATAAGAGCCCAATGCCCCTGAATATTTCAGTTATCAGGAGTAAACTGATCAACAGCAGAGTCCTAGAATCCTCCATCCAGACCAGCCACATTGCCGTTGGCTCCTTTGACAACCTGACCTAAGGGGCTCCTTTGAGCCAACCTGACCGTTGGCTCCTTTGACAACCTGACCTAAGGGGGTGATGCAACCACAGCCCCATGAATAGAAGACTCTGACTTCCTGATTTGTGTGTATGTGTGTGTGTGTGTGTGTGTGCATGTGCATTTGTGTATGGTGAAAAATTGCATAGCGTCATGTGCGTATGAACACTGCACTTCCAAAATCTCCACGCAAAAATATCTATGCTCATCTCAATCCAGAGCCCTCAACACGAGTCTCCCTTTGAATTCTTATCTCTAGTGTATTGCCTTCCCTGGACGGGCCTAGCCTAGAAAACAATTCTGGCTGAGTTCTTCCTCAGTGACTGGAAGCTCAGTTAAGAAGCTCAGGATTTAGGGAACTTTTCTCTGTAAAAGGCCAGAGAGCAAATAATTAGGGCTGTATTGGCCATACCATCTCTGTGCAATTACTCCACTCTACCCGTGAAATCTGAATTTCATATAATTAGTATGTGTCTTCTTCTTTTGGTTTGTATCCAACCATTTAAAAAACTATTCTTATCTTGCTGGCCATATCATAACAGGCACAGCTCAAGAAGGCACTGAAGAGGGTTTGTGGGGACTCCCAGAATCTGGAACCCAGGGTAAGACTTGTATTCCTACAGAAGAAAAGAACCATGCAGATGGGTGGGGGTGGATGAGGATGAACAAACAGTTTTAAATGTTTCACGGATGCTTGCAAGTATGGTGTCTGTTAAAAGCATCTGGCAAACCCCAGAAAAGGCTCTTGATTGTGCTGGCTGGAACCTATTCACATGGTAATGCTTTTTTAGGATATTAAAGAAGAGGCAGTATTCAGGAAGGAAAAATACTTAGGAAGAAGAAAACAATTAGTTTCTATTCCGGCAATAGGATTATCATTTGAGAGAGACAGAGAGGGAGAGAGAAAAATGGAGACAGGGAAAAGAAAGCACTTTTTCTTCCCATCTAAGTGTAGATATATGTGGGTCTAGTATTACTTTCAAATCACCCCCAACAGATTTTTTTTCTTGCTCTATGGTCATTGTCTGGTTCAGAAATTCCTCTCAATTGTTCAACTCACGTGGAAATAATTTTTCTTCCCATGTATTCCTCCCAAATCCCTTTAAAACCCATTGTGGCTGGGAACCAAGACATCAAAAAGCACACAACCTCAAAGAAAGGAAGAATGTGAGGCACCTGGGGTGTGCACCATTATCTGTGTGTGAAGTGCAAGAGTGCGTCCTGACTCCATCTGCTGCAAAAATGTTGGGGATGTTACAGCCGTCTTTCCGAATATACTACATTGGGGCTGTGGGGAAGACTGAGGCACCAACTCACAGGGAAAGATGAGTGGTGCTGATCAGAGCATATACCTGGGAAGCAGACATCATTTCCTTCCCTTTGCACCAGTTCCTGGCCTGCTGCTTCAGATCTGCTTTGGTTCAAAAGTCCTGTGTTCCTATTTCACCAACATTTGTTTAGCTGAGCCCGGAGCTAGCAAAATCCTATAGAATCTGCTAGGAAAGTCCTACAGAAGTAAAGGGCTCCTCCTCCTCCACACAGTCCGATGCCTTGAGATATCTCACTGCTCCCTTGCTTCACAAGTTGTCACCAGGGCCACTACTGATGGTTATGCAGATTTTTGCCCTGTCCCGATGCATCTTGCTGAGGTGGGGAGGGATGGCTGAAGTCCAGTCCGCATTCTGTTTATCAAGCTGTGAACCATAAGGGCTGTGTCTGATCCCCCCTCCTCCATCTCTTTTCCCAGAAAGGGCCACTCTTTTCTTGGCATCAACATTTTATCTGGCCACTTAGTGCGGCTGAGTGACTATCACTGCCCAGAGGGACACCCTTTTTCTGATTCACCCAAAGACACTGTGCAGGTTCACACTGGCCCTGGGAATCCACTTCAGGACCATTACCCCAGGGCGTTCATCACCCCCATTATTTATCTATCCTTATGCATCTCAGGATAATGAGAGCAAGTTATAGATCTTTGCAGAAACAGGAGAGGTATACTGGATGGTCTGAATCCACCCAGAAGACAAATGCAGGCAGGTGCTCACCACCAGCCAGAGGTCCCTAATGTCTCAAGACAGCAACAGATTAAAACCACTTGTAGGCTAAACAACGTGCTTCACTTCTCTTTCTGGCTCTGGAAGTCTGTAGTATCTGAAGCAAGTCCACTGCAGACCCTATCCTAGCAGTTTGCCTTGTGATAATTAAGCCACATAGCTGGCTTGCTCAGTCCAGGCATCAAAGGCACACAAAGCTCTCTCACACCTGGAGCAACACAGTTGGCAGAGTCTGGAGCCCCTAGAGAGTATGGTTTCTGCTCAGCTTTCTTTCCCCTGAGGTCTTGGGTTGCCTTCATTTTAATCCAATTAAAGAAAAGAAAAATCAGTAAGTTTTTAGCACTAGTGGAAAAGGGCTCTATTGACAGCAGCTTAATCATTGTGCTAAGAGAGGTTAATTTCCACCCTTGGTCTTTAACAGGCCTGGTACTGGATATGAATTTTTCAGTTGATGCAACACTCAGGTCACCTGGCTGCCCATTTTAATCAGAAGGCTTCCCCAGCTCTAATTTTTATGTTTCTAACTGCTCACCCAGCCTTCTTCTCTGGAGGCTGAAGTCATATGAACTGCAAGACAGATTCTTCCCATGCAGAGCTTTCATGAGGGAATCCATCCTGCTCTCAGCCTTCTCCTCCTACCCCAACTCTAAACACACATATACAGTACTTGCTCACTTAATTACAGGGATGTGTTCTGAGAAATGCATTGTTAGGTGATTTCATTGTTATGTGAACATCATAGAGTGTATGCCCACAAACCTAGATGGCAGAGCCTACTACACACGTAGGCTGTGTGGCATAGCCTATGCTCCTAGGCTATAAATCTATACAGCATGTTACTCTACTGGATACTGTAGGCAACTGTAACACAACGGTAAGTATTCATGTATCTAAGTGTATATAAACATAGAAAAGGTACACCTGTTATCCCAGCACTTTGGGAGACCGAGGTGGGCAGATCATGAGGTCAGGAATTTGAGACCAGCCTGGCCAACATGGTGAAAACCCGTCTCTACTAAAAATACAAAAATTAGCCAGGTATGGTGGCACATGCCTGTAGTCCCAGCTACTCGGGAGGCTGAGGCAGGAGAATTGCTTGAACCCAGGAGGTGGAGGTTGCAGTGAGCCGAGATCACACCGCTGCACTCCAGTCTGGGCAATGGAGCAAGACTCCATCTTGGGGGAGAAAAAAATAATGTACAGTAAAAATATGGTAGTATTTTATGGGACCACTGTCTTATACGCAGTCTGTCATTGACTGAAATATTGATGGCACATGACTGTATTTTCCTCTTCCCAGCCTGTGCTATTCAATTGTGGAAAATTGTGTTTGATTGTGAAGGTATGGGCATGCATCCTTCCTTCCTGCAGATCACCTAGGAGCAGGGCATCACTGCAGCATCCTCTAACCTGAAGATGCTGGAAAAATTGAAGAAGCAGGACTGAGACTGATACAAATTAAAAGAAAATTAAAAACCATACCAAAGGCCAAAGCACATAGATAAAAAATCCATTAACTGCTGATTTATGGTTTGATAACCCATGATTGTTTGCTGTGAGAAGGAAGCTAGAAGTATGAAAACTGTTAATTTCTAGGTGTGATTGGACAAACCTACACAGCTCTTAAAAGTATCTCTCATTTAGGTTAAATTAAGTAAAATCCCTCTGAATGGCTTTTCTGGATTATAGAATAATCCACAGGATTTTTGCAAGACAGGTAGCACCATTAAGGGTGCAGCAAATATGGCCTGGTACCCTGAAACCATCAAGAGCTGCTCCCACGTGACATCTCTGGGCATGGCAGAAATGTGAACCATATGTCAGGCCGACATTTACTCTAGCAGATTCCAAGGGCAGGAGTAAAGAACCAGGACTCCGTTGAAGCTAAGAATTCAGCACCATGATGAGTCAGACAGACTTAACTTTTTAACCTCTTTGGGCTCACTGCCTGCTGATAGCTGTCATTGCCAGAAATTCCTGGATTGGTTCAAACCAGAGGCCATAGTCACTAAAGTCATATTTTCAGCGCAGGCTCAGGGAAAAACATGAAGACTAGGGTGGAAGCAATATTTATCCTTGCTCCAAGTAGATGAGTAGGGACAATAATCTGGCCCAGGAGCCAAAAAGAACTTTCTGCTCTTCTGCTTCCAAGGTCTTCTTCCTTTTAGTTATTTCAAAATGGAAGAAAGTCTGGATCCCACCTAATCCACAGGTTGGCAGACAGGTATACCAAATATTAGCCCTGCCTTATCTCTACCATGTGGGCAGCCATCTCCTAGATTCTGCCTCAGGCTTCTCATCTGGACCAAAGGAGAGATTATTCTTAATAGTGAGGGTGTCAGAGCAAAGGAGGCCATGCCTGGAGTCCCCCAGCAGCATCTAGGGTATTGCCATCTAGTCGGCTTCTTCACGGCCTAGAAGACAGCTATAGGCTGCCTTCCACCAACTCGAACTTTCCCCAAGCCCTCCTAACTGGCCCCTCACCTGCACTGTTCCTTGGGTTCCCCTTTTGCTCAGAGGCCACCTCCTCCTCCCTATTACCACTGTCAGAATTGATATATTCCTTCCTCTTCTCAGCTTATGTTTTTATTTGCACTTCTGGTTCTTGTTTATGTCATCCATTCTTTAGTGACAGCATTTTTTTTGTAAGCAGAGTTCTTCCTACAAGCTCCATGAAGCAAAGAACTGAGAGATCCTTATGCTTTTATAGAGCCTAGTCCATGGCCTGATCATAGGAGGAGTCAATATAGTAAGTTTCAAATAATTAAAATTAATAAATAAAATTGAATCCAATTAACTCTCTCCAAGCACCTTTATGGTAGTAGATACTATGGTTGTGTTCAATCAAGCAACAGGCATTTATTAAGCCCTTCCCAGCTAGACCTGGGGGAGTTATAAAGAAGGACCCCACTAAAATAGTCTCTCTGGTGCTTTGGCTATTTGTATATTTGTCATTTTTTATAAACTACTTGGTGATAACTTTCCGAAGGGCAGGGAATTATTTTTTCAAAGTGCCCACCAGATCCTTATTACAGGAACTGTTATATATGTCATTTAGCTAATCTCACCACAATTCTACAAGATTAATGTGTTTAACCCATTTTACAGCTGTAAAGGTCGAGGTCGTGGTGTGTTTTTCTTTTTTAAGGTCATACAGCTAGTTAGTAGCAGAGCTGGGATTCAAGCCTAGTTGTTTCTGGCTGAGAGCTGAACCCTTCTCATTATACCATGCTGTCTCTCAGTGACCCTACCTTATTTATCTTTGTGTACCAAGACCCTAGCACACTGCCTTGCACAGGTAGGTACAAACTAAATGATTGATGAATAAATAAAAATGCAGTCCCTCAACTCAAAGAACTTATTTACAACCTAGCAGCAGAGTCAATACATAAAGGGCTAAAAAATAAATAGCAATTCAAAAGATATATAACAGTCCAGTACAACAATACGTAAACTGTCATAAGGCTGTCTAAGATTAATTGCCAAATGAATGATACAGATAACAAGTGCTGTAGGGCTGGAATGATCTGGCAAAGCTTCATGGAGAAAGAGGGATGTTTTAAAGTACAACTTTAATATTTATGAAGTGCCCACTCCGGACAAAGCCTTATATGCAAAGATCGACAAAACACAATCCAAATTCTCCAAGTGCTTGAGTGTAGATGGGGAAAGACAAGTAAAGAGGAAAATACAAAATGAGGCTTTAAAAGCAGAGAGAACTATAAATAGAGAAGGGAGAAGGGGAGATGGTTGTCTGCTCACCTTGCCTTGCTTTTCTTTGCCTGTGGACTCCCAAAACGCTCTAGCAGAGCTTTGCTAATCAAAGTGTGGTCCCAGGACCAACATCAGCTTCATTTGGAAGCTTGCTAAAAATACAAAATCTTGGGGCCCACCCCAACCTACTGAATTAATATATGCATTTTATTCAAGATCCAGGGCAATTCGGGTGTACATTAAATTTTGATAAATGCAGATCTAGAATTCAGAGTATTTAAGCAGCCGGGACATGTCAGCCTTCCCATCTGTGCCACTTGTCCCACTCCAAAGCTATTACAATCCTCTTGGAGTTGCTTTAGTGTGACATTTAAGGAAATAGTTTCAGGAGTCTTGTTCTTTATCCTTCCATCATTGTTGGCAAATAATTTCTTCTTCTTCACCTGCCCTATATTCCCTCTTCCAAACCCCTGACTCATTTTTACCTCCACAGATCACTTGTTGCTCCCAATCTCTTCTGTTTCTATAGCCAGATAAATGCAAATTACTCTTGCTACTCAGTCCCCTCAAATGTCAAATTCTCTCTGGAGCTGCTGTCAAGGAGGAATTATCTTTGTGGTTAAATATAGACTCTGACCCTCTTTCCTCCACTCCTGCCCCCATCCCCTTGAGCCAGAATCAGCAGCAAGGGAAACAGAAGAGAGAGAATGTTTTGCTTCTTCAGATGGGAAAGTATTGATCAGGCAGAGAAGAGAAACAAAACAAAACAAAACCAAAACAAAACAAAACAAAACAAAACAAAAAACAGGAGAGAAAGCAAAAGCATTCAAGTCTCAGAGATGCATCCTGGCCTGGATACAAAAGGGCTGTTTTACTAGGCATGGATTTCACCCCAGGTACTGAATATGAGAGAGAAGATCTGAAAAACTGAAGCAAGTGCAGAATACTTGGCATTTGCAACAAGGAATGTATTAGCTGTGATGATTGAAAATCAACCTAATGGTTTTCCAGGACAATTTTAATACAAGGGGAAAATGATCTGGCCAGATTGAAAGTTAGAGCCGCTCACCATGGATGGTCTGCTGAAGAAATGAGGCTGCCAAATGAAGAGAAGGGGAGTGCATGGGAAAAGGTGATAGCTCCCTCCTCAGTGGCTCAAAAAGCTTATTGCATATCCTGCAGATGCTTTCCACAGATTATTTTATTTCACCTTCACACTAGCACTATAAGGAAGTATTATGAATCCTATTTTATAGTTAGGTAAATTGAGGCTTCAAGAGATTAGAGAACTTGCCCAATATCAATATATACACATACCTGTATGATTGATCCACATTATTTATGGGTTTTTTTTGTATTCATGAATTCATCTACTAGCTAAAATGTATTTGTACAACTCAATCCATTTTCTTGGTCTTTTTTCAGTCGTTCACAGACATGTGCAGAATGAGGAACTATTTGTCACCATATGTGTGGTTTCAGCAAAGGTTCAATGAACTGGTACTCTGCCTTGCTTTTCTGCTCTCATACTGTAAACAAGTGTCCTTTTAGCAGTCTATTTAGTCTCACATGTTTTTACATTTTTATGCGGTTTTTTGGTGATTTTGCTGTTTAAAATGACCCCCCAAATACAATGCTGAAGGGCTGGCTACTGTTCCTAAGCGCAAGAACACTGTTCTGAGCCTTACAGAGAAAATACCTGTGTTAGATAAGCTTCATCCAGGCATAAGTTACAGCACTGTTGGCCGAGAGTTCAATGTTAATGAGTCAACAATATCTAGTAAAGGTGTCTTTAAACAGAGACAACATAAAACAAGGCTATGTATTGATCAGTTGATGACAACATCATGACCAGAGGCTTCAAGGAACCTAGTCCTGTCCTTCCCTTAGGATCAATGGTTCAGTAGTCATTAATTCAAAGTTCCTGGTAATTTTATAGAACACAGTTGCTATGAATAAAGAGAATGAACTGTATTTTTTAAACTTCTGATACAACCATACACATATACATAGACATTTATATACTAGTACGTACACACCCATATACACATATTTAACCTCAGGGAGACTATTGGAACAGGAGACTTTAAAAAAAATCACTGGAGATGGGAGGTGAGACCTCTAAGGAACCTGCTAAACTGCTTTCTAAGACAGGACAGTTTGGGCAAATGTCAGCCTTTGTTTGGATGCATGAGTGCCAAGTGTGGGGCCAGATTTGAACTGTGGGCTCTAGAGGTCATTTGTCCTTCCCTTGGTCAGCTTCTCCTTTAAGTATGGTTGAACAAGTGCTTTTAAAACATTAGACTGAAGAGGGGCTGAGTCATGAGTCTACTGGTGGTGCCCATATGTCTTCTGGATCCTGTTTCCCTGGCCATGGTTGGTAAGTCAGGTCCACATGCTCCAATGTCACACTCTTTCCTCTACATCTCCACCCACCTTCAGTGTCCAGGGATATTCTATTTCTTCAGTTCCAGAACTTTGGGGAATAAGAAAAAAGACTATTATCCTTCTGTTTAGCACAATTCACTCTTTTACTCTTTTCCCACTTCCATCAATTTTTATCTTTTCCCCAGGTCATCCTAAAACAAAAACTAAAACACTCAGGAATCCCAATTTAAGAGCTGAAAAGTATCCTACAAGTTGAATAGCATATGACTTCCTTAGCTGCTTTTATATATCTAATAGTAAAGTATACAGCTGGCTCCCTGTACCCCTGGATTCAACCATCTGAGATTGAAAATATTCGGGACAAAATAGCAATACAACAATAAAAAGTAATACAAATATAAAAGCCAACACAGTAGAACAACTATTTGCATAACATTTACATTGCATCAGATATTAGAAGTAATCTAGAGATGATTTAAAATATGGGAAAGGATATGGGTAGGTTATATGCAAATACTATTCTATTTTATATACGGAACTTGAGCATCATGGATTTTGGTGTCCCGAGGGTGGGGAGTTAGGGGGCGGTGTGGCTCCTGGGACCAATCCCTTCTAGAACTTTGGGAAATAAGAAGAAAGACCCTATCATCCTTGCAGATACCAAGGGGCAGCTGTATTTTTTGTACTATCATTTCCCCTTTCCAAATTTCACCAGACTCATCACAGCTCTGGCCATTTCTCTATGTCTTTTTCTTCTTTGCAATCTATTTCTATTTACTTTCTATTCACTCCTCAATTTAACATGTTCTTCCACCCCGATCATCTCATTCAAAATGGCAAAAATCAGTGGGTACCTTTTATTCTCATTTTATCCTATATCTCTTTGCCCTTTGACACCATTGATTGTGTCCTCATTTTTGAGGCATTGTGGAATAATTAAATGAAAATTAAGATCATAGAATGTTAGAGCAGAAAGACCCCAGAGAAAATCAGACCAGACTATTCAGTTTGGAGGGCAGAAGAAGAGGAAGAGTGACTTGCCAAAAATTGCAGCTCCAGCTGATGGAGCAGTTTCAGTTCTGGCTCCCCTATAGCATCTGGTGTCTCAGTCTACAGTGCCTGGTATTCCAAACTGGTCTCCCATCCCCAAATTATACAGGTCTGACCCAGGCCAACTCTGTGATTGGCTGAGCTGGAATACGTTCAAGGTGACAGATCTATCTCTTCTGTCACTTCACTCTCCTCTACCTCCCAAGGGCTTCCACCCCTCAGGATGGCCTTTTGCGATCATGACACCAGAGAATCGATACCAAGAGGAGAAGAAGATTGAAAGTGCCAGGCAGAGTCCTTGAAAATGCCATGCTGTGATGATAAAGGTAAACTGATCAGAACTTTACTGCCCAGAGTTAAGGACATTTGGATGTGATAGAGTAAAACAGTTGCTAAGCTGTAAAGGGATGTGCATGTTGGGGTATCTTCTACTTAATTCTATACAATATCATTTGTGCAGATTCCCTAGTCAATTTCCTATATCTGCTTCTAATATATATCATGGATCTTTGCATTTGGGAAGGTCCATTCTTTATACAGTGCAGGTACAAAGGAAGGACTTCTGGAAGAAAACAGGGAGGAACGGAGTGCCCAGGTCGACGTAAGTAATCCCAAATACGGCTGCCTCTGTAGGGGCAGGGCATTCAATCCAGGGAACCCTCCCTCTCTCTATAACCAATAATCAAGGAGTCCTGTACTCCAGCTTCTACTTGCTGAGACTCCTCTTTGTCCTTGAGCTCTAGGGAGGATTCCTCAGACTGATGAAACACTAAGGTGGAATCCATCATGTCGTGTACATTGCACCATAAGTTCTAATCCAGCATGGTGAGCAGCCCAAAACTCTGATAGAGCACAGATACAAAGAACTTAAAAGATGTGCCTTGTTTTTGCAAATTTGCAAAGTGGCCTCAAGATTTGGAAGGAGCAACCAAGTGAAAGGGTTATCCTTCTTTTTCTATCTCACCGATCTTTTACTAATAGACTTTAAATATTGTAACAGCCTAATCCCTATTGTCCTTAAGCTTTTTCTTTTTTTAAATGTAATTCTTATAGGGCAACAAAGAACTAGATTATCTTTATTAATAATGCATTTGGAAAATGCTTTGCAAATTGTAAAATGCTATACGAATGTTACTCATTATTATTGTCATTTATTAACCAATGCTGATTCTCATTAGGAAGCATTTGGCAAGCCTATTTCCTACTTAGCCACCCTCAGCATCATGTACTGTTATTTTATGATGTGGAGGAAGTCGGGAAGAGAAAGAAAGCAATAAACTTTCCATATGCCATATGCTGCTGGCAAAAAGAACCTCTATTTAAAGATATATTCATTCATTCAGCAAATATTTATTGAATAACTGTTATTATAAGGACAATACAGTGGCGAACTAAATAGCACCTGCCCTCAAAGACCTTAGCATTATGTAGGAAGAAAGGCTTTTTTAAAAAAATTAAAATTATCCTGACAAATTGTGTTCAATACTGTGAATAAAGAGAACAGAGTGCAATGAAAGGAAATAATAGGAGGCTTTAATTAGACTGGAAGAGGGCTCAAAACCAATTCCAGTGCCTACCACTAGTGTATATGCTAGGTATCTATTTATTGGATAAATGCATAAGTTGTAAATGAATTAATTAATGGACTCTCTGCATAAGTGACATTTGATCTGAGAACTGAAAGACAAATAGGAATTAGCCAAGGAAAGCATGGGACCTTTTAAGAACTGAAAAAGGCCAGGTTTTTTTTTCTTTTTTAAAGGTTAAAAGTCCTCGAAAAATGTGGTAAGGGAGAAGGTGATATGATGACATGATGGACAGAGGCAGGCATGTGGTTGTTCTGCAGAGCACTGCAGGCCACAGGAAGGAGTTTGCTCTAGCTGGGATTGCTAGCCTGTGAAGCTTTAGCCCGGGAGTAACCCAATCTCATTTAATCTCTAAAAGGGTCACTCTTACTGCTTCTCAAAGAATGAAGTACTAGGGACCCAGGATGGAAGTGGGAGACCACTCTGCTACAAGCTATTGTAGAGGTCCAGGTTAGTGCTAATAGTGCCTAGGCTTGGGTGGAGGCAGTGTGGATGGAAGTAAACAGACACATTCAAGAGATATCTTGGACTAGAATTAAGAGGTTTTTGATGGTTTATTGGGAAGAGATGGAGATGTCAAAGATGACCTCAAGGTTTCTGGGTTGAGAACCTGGGTGGATGAGCTTAGGAATGCTAAAAGAGTTTGGGGTGTATGGTGACAGTGATTTTAATTTGAGAAGAAAAAATATATTGTGGTGAGATAAGAACAGCGTATCAGGTCTGGGAAGGGTGAGATGGGTAAGACACAGCCTACAATACCAAACTCCTTTTTCTCTGTGATTAGTATTTATTAACACATGTCTTTCCAAAGCATCCTGCATGCAGCATGGTTCTGTCAACTGCAAATAGACAGTACAGCATGACATGGAGCTCTTCTCCAGGATCAAGGAGGTTGGAAGGGAAGAAGCACCCTTTTCATTCACAGGGGTATAATTTCAAGATTTCCTAATAGGCCAGCATTGTCATATTAACTAAGCTATGATCAGTTTGCTTACTTTCAGTTTGCATACTTTCCATACCATCCCTGCAAGGAAGTTCTCTTTTCATGACTCCTACTTTTTTCCAATAATGTTTTAGAGACCACCCTACTTATGTGATAACAATATTTTTTAAGGTTGTGGTAAAACACACATAACATACACTTTGCCCTCTTAATCATTTTCAATTGTACTCTTCAGTGACATTAAGCGCATTCACATTATTGTACAACCCTCACCAACATCCATTTCCATAAATTTTTTCATCTTCCCAAACCAAAACTCTATGCCCATTAAAAAAATAACACCCCCTTTCCCCCGTCCACTATACTAATCTTTTCCACTTACATTTAATTGCCTTATAAAGAAAGATCTTTGGCCGAGTGCGGTGGCTCATGCCTGTAATTCCAGCACGTTGGGAGGCCGAGGCCGGTGGATCACCTGAGGTCAGGAGTTTGAGACCAGCCTGGCCAGCATGGTGAAACCCCATCTCTACTAATAATACAAAAATTAGCTGAGCGTGATTGTGCATGCCTATAATCCCAGCTACTCAGGAGGCTGAGGCAGGAGAATCACTTGAACCCAGGAGGTGGAGGTTGCAGTGAGTCAAGATCGCACCATTGCATTCTGGCCTGGGAAACAAGAGCGAAACTACATCTCCAAAAAAAAAAAAAAAAAAGAAAGAAAGAAAGATCGTCTGCCTTGGCTGAGGCAAATTAGGCAGCAGGCAGAGGAGAGAAGAGCTGGCCAGACTCTGTCCTGAGGAGAGAGCACCAGCTTTCCCTGGGGACCTGTCATTGTGAAGCAAGTGGAACTGAGAGAGGCAGAACCCCACATGAACACTGAAACCTGGAACATCAGAGACCAGCTTCTTGTACTGTTTTCTCTCACCACCAAGAGACTCTTTATTGTGACTTCCTGGCCAAAACCTTAATATTTCTGAGTGTTTTGTTTTAACAGCTTTATTGAGATATAATTCACACAAAATACAATCACCAATTTAAATTGCATAATTCAATGGTTTTTGGTATAGTTACAGAATTTGCAGCTATAACCCCAATCAGTTTTAGAACACTTTCATCACCCCCAAAAAAACCCTGTACCCATTAGCAGTGCACTCCCCCATCCTGTCTTCCACCAGAGCCACTCCCCAACCAGACCAAGGCAACCATTAATCTACTTTCTTTATGGATCTGCCTATTCTGGACAATTCATATAAATAGAATCACACCACATGTTGTCTTCTATGACAAAATGTTTTGATTTAACAGAGGAATGCATAGCCTTTTTCCAGGATGTTCCTTATTAAGCAGTGAAAAACAACAGCACTGACCCCAAATCACAGCCAGGTAAGCAGGGAGAATTGCAGTGTTAGAGAGGCTGCCAGAAATTTCCCCTGGCCTCAGGCTCCCCCAGGGCAGGGGGATCAGGGTTTCAGAGCTCCCTGTGGCATCACTTTCTAAAAGCATAAAGGCCTTTCTTTCTGGCCCTGGGGCATTCCCTACGGCTCAGTGCCCCAGGTGATGGGAAAGCCTGGGGCCTACAAGCATGTTAGGTCACAATTCCCTGCCCTTGATAATAGAGAGAGGTGGGGAAGGACTTAGGTTTAAACCAAGAAACAGGGTTTGAAGTAGACCAGGGGACTAGGCAGCCTCCCAGAGGTGTTATGTTTTTAGGGAAGTATTTCCCCTAAAAATATTCCCCTGCTGGCAAGATAGCTGTTCTTCTAGATAGCAATTCCTTCCTTTGAGCAAATCATAAACTCTCCATGTGTTTGGTGCTTTAGTTTACCAAGCACCTCAGCACATATTGCCTTTGCAATATCTTCCATTCTATTAGTTTTGATAGAACACTATCCATCTGTTTCCTTGTAACGAGGTTGCTGAGGACCAGTCGCTTTGCCTCATTGGTGCTCCCAGATCACTTTATACTTACCTCTATTATAGCACTGATGGACATTTATTATCACTATCTGTTTATGCAATCTATTTGCCCCTTTAGACTATAAGTTGCTACAGAGCAGAGGCCTCTGGACCCAGCACACTACAGGACACATAGTGGGCAGGCAGTAAAGGATTCCAGTGCTCACAGCAACCCCATTTTACAGGAAGAAGACAGGATGTATTAGTTCATCCTCACACTGCTAATAAAGACATATCCAAGACTGGCTAATTTATAAAGGAAAGCGGTTTAATTGACTCACAGTTCAGCATGGCTGAGGAAGCCTCAGGAAACTTACACTCATGGTGGAAGGGGAAGCAAACATGTCCTTCTTCACATGGCAGCAGCAAGGAGAAGTGCCAAGCAAAAGGGGGAAAAGTCCCTTACAAAACCATCAGATCCCATGAGAACTCACTATCATGAGAACAGCATGGAGGTAACTGCCCCCATGATTCAATTATCTTTCACCAGGTCCTTCCCATGACACGTGGGGGTTATGGGAACTACAGTTCTAGATGAGATTTGGGTGGGGACACAGTCAAACCATATCACAGGGCACAAAGATATAAAGCCATTTTCCCAGTGGATATTATTCAATGAGGAACTCGAATCCAAGTCTTGTAACTCCAGACTCAGGGCTCTTTTTTTTACTTTGTACTGGTGTTTATTGACATCTGTATAAGTTGTTTGCAATTTCCAAAGGGAAAGTGACCTTCGCAGTGGCCTTGTAAGGTAGAACAATATTTTTGAAAGTAAAAAATAAGGAATGGCCTCAGAGATGTTTGGCTCTTTAAAAGGAAAACCTGCCTAACACAAGGGTTTTGCAGAGTTGTATATCAATGCTAGCTTCTTCCCTTCTGGCTACTTGTTTAACTGTCTGAGCCTCAGTTACCTCATCTTTAAAATGGTAATTGTAAACCCTGCCTTGCGGATGTTTCTGAAGTTTACAGATAATGTAAAACACATTGCTTAGCTCATAGGAAACACTGAATGAAAGGTAACTATTAGTATTGCCAATTTGAAGTTGGAAGCCCAAAGTCACATCTATATGTTCTAATAAGCCGAATCTCTCTGCTCTGGTAGTACTCTTCTTTACAGTATAAATACCATGAGAGGAATAACACTTTAAGACGGAACATCAGAGGAGGAGGTATTAGAGAAGAGTATTGGGGAGATACTAAGAGACAGGAGAACAGTACTGAAACTTGGGGCTGAAGGTGGCAAAGAGAAACTTTTATCTACTTAACTATTCTTTCTCAATGGGTGGTCCTAGAGGGTGCAGGGAGTGGGAAGTAGGGCAGACGCTTTACTGTGCAACCCAACCACCCCTTTTAAATTCTCTAGTAGAGTAAAGCAGAAACAGGGGACAGAGAGCTCACGGTTCCTGCTGCTCATGTAGTATCTTACATTCCCTCTGTCCCTCTCATTCATTCTCTTCCTTGGGAAAGAACATTTTGTGAGCTCACACCCTCCCTTGAAGCTGGGTAAGTGGGTTTCCGGATTGGTTATAAATCAGAGAAGCATGTGCATTTGTTTGCCTTTGATGTGTGAACACTTGTCTGCATATGTCTCCTTTTTGCAATGTTTGGAAAACGAGGGCCTGGAAGATGAAGTGTTACCTCTTGCCTTGGCCACACTTGGAATGAATAGCCTAGTTGCTCTGCATTCATTTGGTGTTTATGGGAATATCATATGTAGTTCTGTCGACATTCCCTAACCATTATAATGCAGTTACTGTAGATAATGTTCTCCTAGTGCAATATGTTATCACCATTTTAACAACCTGACATATGATCGGCTCGTATTATCACTTAAATGAATCCATTAAGCAGCTAGAGGCTTCCAGGAGTCAGACGCTACAGCATCAAATAGGCAAGTCTGTGCCACTTCCAAGGGGGCCAACCTCCTCAGCTAGAGGGAAGGCTCAGTTCTACCTGAGGGTCATCCAGCCAGCTCACCCAGGGACTTGTGAAACTGTTCTCTTCAGGGGCTAAGCTAGATCCCAGTCCCTGGACAAAGAGAGAAATTCTCACCTTATTACACTGTTCTTTAATACAGGAAAGAAATGTTGGTGCCTGTGAGCAAAGCAATGAGATGTAATCAAATTCACAATTTTGGCTACAGAGCTAAGTAGTTTAGGTCTGATGGAGGCAGCGAACCATATTGAGGCCTAAGACTGCACCTGAAATTACCAGTTGCTTGTATGGTTTGATTTGAGGGATAATAAGAGCGTCAACTAACATTTGTAAAATGCATGTGATTTACAAACTCTTACCACATATACTATTTTATTTGATCCTTAAAAGTACCTGTTAAGGTAAATAGTATTTTTACTCCCATCTTGGAGATAAAGAAAGGAAGATTTTTATCAAGTCAGCCTTTTAGGATTGATAGGAGGAGTAAACAAAATAATGCATGTGAAATGCTTATCATTCAGTTAGCCCTCTCTCTATATGACTTTCCATTACATTAAGATGTCCCTCCATGGGAAGGGTTGTCTGTCCCAAATTGTCTCTCTTTCTACCTGGAACTTAATCTGTAAATCCCACCATCAACTCAGCAGATTGATTCCTATTAGATCCATGAAATGGGTACTTGTGGAAGTCTGGCCCTCTGAGTTCGTGTTCATAAATTGGTTAGAGATAGGAGGAACTAATCTGTTGGGTGTAAAAATAACTAGATCTAACCAAATAATTAAGTTCTATGATCAGTGGCATTTCACTTACAACGCACACTAGCCAATGAATTTCAGAAGAAATCTCACACCAGAAGACAGTGGGAAGTACCAGCAGTCTGGGAGGTTTGGCTCAGGGGAGATTTTGAATTTTTAAATTAAACAATGGAAAGTTTGTCCTCAGTTGGGATAGTGTGGACTTTTAGAATCAGCTTCCCGGAGCCAGGAGATAAGACAGAGAGTGAGAATCTCACGGCTAAGAGGGAAAGAGACACCTGAGGATAGAGAGGTAGCTTAGAGTGGGTCACCCTGAGAGGGAACCACAGAACACAGAGGACACAGGGGCTCCTGTGGGAGCAGAAACTTGCTCCCTGTAAGTGGCAAAGTCATTCCAACACCAGCTGGGGCTTCAGTCCTCTTCAGAGCTTTAGATAATTTCACCCTGAATCCTCCAGGTCAGAGGCTGAATTCCTCATGGCTCTCTCTGTGTTCTGGGATGTTATTTTGAACATTATATTTTGCTTGGAGCTCAATGTCACCTTCATTTTTTTTTTCCTTGCTTTCAATGAAGATCTGTGGGACCATGCTGGGGGCGGGCTGGGGTCACAGTTCAAAGTAGCTCCTCTGCTACTTCCTCTACCTCCAGTCTTTCCCGCACTGCTGGGCCCTGCCTGCTCTTTGCCCTACCCTCTTCAGAAACCTTTAGAGTCAATATGTCCCCCCAGTGACACGGGGGCTAGTCTGCTTCCCTCCTGGGAGCAGCTCTGTCAGGTCACTCTGCCTGTTGTATTCCCCAAACCATTCCCAACCTTTGCCACCCTTGTCTTGGGAATTCCTGTGGATTTACTTCCTCCATCTCATTTCAACCATTCTTATGTGCATTTTAATTTTCCTTCTGTATCTCCATATTTCCTACAAGGCCAGAGGGGAGAAAAGAGGACAACCAAAGGAAGTTAAAGGGCACTGTAGCAAACTATATCTACTTTACAATTGTGTCTTGACACTAATAAGCTGCAAATGGCATTCGCCTGCTGGCAAATAACTTGGGAGAGCTAGAGTAGAGATGAGATGCCATCGACTTAACTTCTAGCAGGACCGATAGCAAAATATGTAGGAACCTGCATGGCAGAAAGTACTTTACCAGCCACAGAATCCTGGAGATTGTGGGGTGCCATCTTCTCTCTCCAGATGCTGCCATCCTGTGTTCTTCGATAGTTTGTCTGAACAAAGAGGTACAAAGGACCATGGCCCAAGGAAAACAAACTCAGTGCTTAGCCCTGTACTTGGTGGAGATGGGAGGCACTTTGGAGAGTCCCAGACAAAGAGGGAACTTCCATGAAAGGGAATCATCCCTTGCCCACTGGAGCAGGTTTGTCATAAAAAGCCTGACACGGATTTTTACCCCCTCTGTGGTTAATGGGGTAAAAAGGGGCACTTCCTCAGTTCTGCAGCCTGTACTATCACATAAATTGAAACAGACAGAATTACCATTGATACAAATTAAAAACAAATAAAAAGGATACACAGAGCTGATTCTAAGAGTTCAAACTCCATTACCAGCTGATTTACTGAGCAGTGACCTGTGATTGTTGGGGGAGAGGGGAGGAGTGAGGAGTCTCGGTGAATCCCATCAACCCCATTGCCGGGTGGCACATGAGTCAATAAGCTATTTAATTTAATGGGAAACGGTATTGACGAGCCAGAGAATGCAACTCACAAAAGCTGCAGCTGCAAGGAGCAGATAAAGTCTTCATCCCAGTCTCACTCTCGGGGTATCCACCCCTCAGCATCTCCTCTGTCAGAATCAGGGAAGGGATCCATGGGATTTGGGGGGCCTTGGGGTCCCAATGGGACAGTGCTTAGGAAGGATTACCATCACCAAAAAAATGGAATCAGCAAAAGGTGGACTGGAGGAGAGATTGGCAAGAAAATGGGAAACAGATTTTCTAAGCCAAGGACAATGCTATAAATAACCTTTCACAGTGAAGGTGGCCAGAAAGGGGAGGCCAATAATCCCAGAAGGAATCCCATCAGCTGCATCCCCAGCAGAGACATGAGCTCATCTGTTTGTTTTACTCCTCTTTATGGGGTCAGATCAGGACTGCGATGCTCCTGGGACCTGAAGCACTCTTTGCCCACCACAAAATTGAAGCTGAGAAAGTTGAGGTCATCTGCTGAACCACTGGAGCTGCAGCGGGGAAGGCAGGGGGTACTTTTAGAAATGAATCAGATGTGTAGAAAATCAGACTTGGAAAGGACCTAGGAAATAATCTAGTTCAATGTCTTTCCCACCCCCAAACACGTTGAGAAAGTGAGGACTAGAGAGAAACAATTAATATGAAGTCGCAACACAAGTATGAGAGAGCCAGATCATTGCACTCCACGTCCAACATGGTTCCCACTGCTGGTAAGAGTGTAGCGGATACAAATGAACATATAAGATCTGGACCATTCCTCACTTCAGCACACTCAGTGAGATCTGGGCCCTAAACACGAAGATCTGAGTTTGAGGGAATAAACATAAAAAAGCTAGTCAGTAAAGTTGTCTCATAAACTATTAATTATTTACTTAACAAGCATGTACAGAGTATTTGTGTGTTAGATATTGCTTCTAAGTGTTTTATAAACATCAGTTCCTTTAATCTTCAAAACATCCCTGTAAGATAGTACTATTTTTATCCTCATTTTTACAGATGAGGAAATTGAGGTATGGAGAAGTAAAGTACCTGTTCCAAGGCTCACCCAGCTAGGAAATGGAAGAGCAGGGTTTTGAAGGCAGGCAGTCTGACTCTAGAGTCCATATAATACATCATTAACCTCCAAAAAGAGTAATACTAGCTACCACTCATTGAGAGCCTACCAAGTGCCAGGTATGGTGGGAAGCATGTATTTTGTTAAAGTCAAAACGATTCCTGAGATAGATGTTATTTCTACTTGACAAATGACGAAACTGAGAGTCTGAAAGGTGAAAGACTTTACCTAAGTCTCACAGCTTACGAAGTGTCAGAGCCAACATTTGAACCCAGGCCTGTTTGACTCCAAAGCCCATGCCCTAAACTACTTTTTGAGAATGGCTTCTGCGCCCTCAACAGAAGAATCAGATTCTAACCTCAGATTTCACACGGATCTATCGCACAACTCAATGTCAACTTCTCATTACTGAGTAAATTATTATTACAGAGTAAATTAGCGTCTAGGTGACTCAATGTCTTCATCTGTTAAATTGAAGTGACCTCCATTGTTGTGAGGATGAAATGGTATAAATTCATTCATTTATCAGTAAATATTTATTAAGCAACTACTATGTTCTAGGTACTATTCTAGGCATTGGGGATATAGCAGCAGAGCTGGCTTCATGCGTAAATGCTTCATGGGTTTATGACCTGCGCAGTTGCACAGGGCCCTGCATTCTAAAAGGCTTCACATGGGAGTTTAATGCTCTGAGATTGCTGTCTTGAAACTCCCAATGACTGTATCTTTGAATTTGAATTTTTAAGTGAAGTCTGATAGAGCAGTGGAACAGGCCTGGGTGCTTAGAGCTTCAGCCTACATATGGCCTTGCCTCCCTTAAATAGGTGATATCGCTCTGGCCTTCCCCTCTGCTCCCAAATGTAACCAGTGCCACCTTCTGCCTCCAACAGGAGTCTAGGTACAGACGTGGAGTGGGTCAGGTGCACATGCCCTACAGCATCTTGGGACAGGGCATGGCAGTGGCCATTCCTGCCCTGCGCTGGCAGTGCCACAGCACATTTGGCAGATGACTTGGCAAGCAGCCTCTTGCTCACTCCAATCCAGGTAACTAGTTCATCCTGGCACAAAGGGTTACGGTACACTTGGAAGGTGCCCGTCTGCCATGGCTCTGACCCCTTGGAAGAAATAGCACATCAGTCTTGCAGCTCGAACTTGGCAGCCCATGGGGCTTGAGTGCCCTGAGACACATGGGGGGCACCCAGTACCTGAGAAGGCCTGCCCTGGCCTGGCAAGTATGCCTGTGCTTGATGGAGTCAACATTAAACAGGAAATAAAACCACTATGACAGGCCAAGAGAGAGAAACTGGAAAAATGGAAAAAGCTTTATCTATTAGTATCTTGACTGGAACTGTTTTCAGGCTTTTTGAATAAGAGGCCTGTGTTTTCATTTTGCACTGAACCCCTGTATTAACCTGCTAGGGCTACCATAACAAAATGGTACAGGCTTCAATGACAGAAATGTATTGATCACAGTTCTGGAGGCTGGAAGTCCAAGATCAAGGTGTCAGCAAGGTGTCCAAGCCAAGGCCTCCCTCCTTGGCTTGCAGGAGGCCACCTGCTCTCTGTGTCCTCACAAGGTGTTTTCTCTGTGCAGGTGCTCAACCCTGGTGTGTCCTTTCGTGTCTAAATTCCTCCACTTATAAGGACATCAGTCATATTGGTCCCACCCTCACGGCCTCATTTTAATGTAATAACATCTTTGGAAACTCTGTTTTCAAATACAGTCACATTCTGAGGTACTTAGGGATTAAGATTTCAACACATGAATTGGGGGCACACAATTCGGCCCACTTGTGCCCCTCAAATTGTGTAGTTGGCAGTGTATGGAGATGGGAAATGGGAAATGATTCTCTTTTTTTTGAGATGGAGTCTCACTCTGTTGCCAGGCTGGAGTGCGATGGCACGATCTCAGCTCACCGCAACCTCTGCCTCCTGGGTTCAAGCGATTCTCCTGCCTCAGTCTCCTGAGTAGCTGGGATTACAGGCATGCACCACCATGCCTGGCTAATTTTTGCATTTTCAGTAGAGATGGGGTTTCACCATATTGGTCAGGCTAGTCTTGAACTCCTGACCTCATGATCCACCCACCTCGGCCTCCCAAAGTGCTGGGATTGCAGGTGTGAGTCTCCGGGCCTGGCCATGATTCTATTTTTAAAGAGCTAATTTTTCTGAGTGAGGACGTAGGTAACTAAAAAGTAAATAACAGAGTAAAAGGAATAGTGGGGGAGTGACGGGGATGCATTTGCTGGGTTATATAAGATGACCAGGCAAAGCATCTCTGAGAAGCGACACTAAATCAGAGATCCAAAGAAAATCAGGAAACGAGCCAGAGGTACATCTCATGGGAAGAAGATAAAGGTATTAGACTACTGCCTGGAACACAGTGAGTCTGATAGATCCGTTTGCCAGCAGCAACAACAGCAGCATCATTTTTCCTCTGACTTTCCTATGCCTGTTCTGCTGCAAGTCGTGGAGATCTACCTGTGCTCTTCGGGTCTTGAGCTGTTCTGACCAAGACCAAGCAAGTTCAAGGATTCTCTGTGCTGCCAGCAAGTAAAGTCTGGAATTAATCCCTTTGCTGTGAGCTCAGTATACAGTAGGCTGAGAGTGACTATGCCCTCGGTACCAGCTGTGCCACAGGCAGCAGATCCCCTTACTGAATCCATTCTATATATGTGACAAAGCTGCAAGAACCCCAGGTTCCTCCCTGCCGTTCCATTTCCCGAGCATGACTGGAGTTCAGCTCTCTACCCTGGGCTTTTTGCCTAGGGCCTAGCTCTGGTCAGTCCTTCCAATAACCCTGAAGTTCTTTTCTCTAAAGCAGTGGTTCTCAACCTGGGAGTAATTTCCTCCTCCTCCCTCTGCACCCCAGGAAACATCTGGCAGTGCCTGGAGACATTTTTTGGTTATCACTGGAGGGAGGTGCTTCTGGCATCTAGTGGGTAGAGGCCAAGTATGCTGAATCTTACAATGCAGAGGAGAGCTCCCCAGCTAAGAACTAACCAGCCCAAAATGACAATAGTGCTGAGGCTGAGAAAACCTGCTCTAGAGGGCAAGTAATTCAGAATGAATATAATGCACCAAATGCCAAACACAAGCAGAATGAGGGAAACAGTAAGGAATGTGCAACATTTGGCAAAGTGTCTCCTTAGTGCAGGATCTGTCGGCTTGCCTTATCACCCCAGTTCCTTTCCCCATGACCCTGGACAGTGCCTGGAGGGCTCCTGCTAACCCAGACCTGGGGTATTGCTAAATGCCTGCAATCCTACTATCCTGTAGACCTGCTTCACTGGAAAGATCATCATGACTCCAAATAGGCTTGAATTCATAGACCCCTTTGGAGACTGAATTTTTGCAGAACACATTTTTTTCCATGGAGGCAGACTGATAACTCACAATGGCTATGTGAGATCAGGCTCAGCCCTAGCTCCCTATGTCTCCCTGGATGGTTTACTGCCGAGTCCCCACTAGGGATGACATGGCATTATTACCAAGAGGGTCAGCCGTGTCTTTCCACACCACAGTCATATTGGAGTTTCAGCTCAGAAAAAGTGTAAGGCCTGACTTAATATAGCAATTGTTGTGATTCTATGGCACAGAATCTACACTCACAACAATGTCTGTTACATAAACTTCCCTTCCGCTCCTCCAAATGCTGGAGAATCTTCCCACAAGGACCTTAGGCTATACTTTAAGTTAAATCAACTTTCCTTCTTCCACAGGAGGCATCTGTCCCTAACCAGCCTTTGAACAGTGGCCCTTTGTGAGTTGGGGGTTGAGGATGGGTGGTGGAACATTTCCCAATTCACAGGTCAGGGAGTAAAGGCACAGGGACTAACCTGTCTCATTAGTGTCTGAGAGCTTTTGTGATTCCCCCAAGGCATGTTCCAGGAAGCTGAAGACTCCCTTCAGGCAAATTTCTATGGCAACAGACAGAGTCCCAAGATGAAAGTTGTGTTCTGAATGTTACTATCAGGAAGCAATCACGTAGGGTCTTAAAGATGTGGGGCAGGAGAGGACACTGGAATAGGGGAATGTGTGGTGAGTCTGAAGCCAATTTATGTATAGAGCCTATGGAGTTCCTCCCAAAAGGATAGAGGTAAACGAGAGGGAGAGAGCACACCAACTGCTAAATATAAAGCTAGAAGAGGGAGAGAGGAGGAGGCGGCAGCAGGAGATGTTTTGGTGTTTTGGGTGTGGGATGCTCCTCACTCTCTTCTGCATTTTTCTTCCCAACCTCATCCGGAAATGGATTGTTGCTTCTCAGAAAAGGTAAAGAATTGGCTTGAATTTAATCATGATAGCAAAGAAAGAGGGAAGGAAAGATTATATAACATTCTTCTAATTTTGAAAAGCCTGGTGCCACGGGACAAAACACTGGACTTATTATAGAATCAAGAGGTGCAGATCCAAGCTCCATCAGTGTGGTTTTTGGCCACCTGATCCTGGCCAATGAGGAGACCCTGTAAACTGCGTGTTTTTCCATAATAAAAACATAATAACCACTCCGCTTCCACCAGAGCCCATTTTAAGAATGAAATGAGGTAATAACTGTGGATATCTTTTGTAAATGATAAAACATTAAACTAGCATTTTCCATAATGTTCTCTGTAGAACATTAATTCCATGGGATATTAGTAAGATCCTCAAGTCAAAAAAACAACAATAAAGTTAAAAGGTTGTTGTTGTTGTTTTAATTGTAGGATTTGTGAATATCTTTCCAGTACTAAATGGACTGTAGAATCTTTTATTGCAGAGTATCTTGCATGACTAAAATTTTCAGAGCACACTTTGGGAAAGATTTCCCTACAGAAATATAAGAAATTACCCACACTATTCTTAGCTGTTGCATGAACGGTAGTAATGTGCAGAAGAGAAAAAGCGTCAAGGGAATGGGGACCTAGAACACAGTGCTCCTCAGGTGAGTCTAACGCATATCAAAATTTGAGAATCCTCAGTTTTTAGAAAGTGGACAGAATTGTGCCTGCCCTCCTCCAAAAGATATGTTGAAGCCCTAACTCCCCATTCCTCAGAATGTGACTTAATTTGGAAATAGGGATATTTACAGAGGTAATCAAGTTAAAATGAGGTCATTAGGGTGGACCCTAATTCAATATAACTGGTATTTTTCTAAAAAGGGGAAATTTCACCACAGAGACAGGAAAACACCAGTGAAGATGAAGGCAGAGATTCCAGTGATGCATAAGCCAAGAAACGCCAAAGATTGCCAGCAACCACCAGGAGCCAGGAGAGAGCCTGGAACAGATTCTCCCTCACAGCACCCAGAAGGGAACAATCTTGCCGACACCTTGATTTTGGACTTCCAGCCTCCAGAACTGCGAGACAATGGATTTTGGTGTTAAAGCCACCCAGGTTGTGGTACTTTGTTACATCAGGAAGCCATGGGAAACTAATATACCACACCTCCTGGGAAGAACCAGGCAGCATCAAGTTTTGCAAGGGCCTGGCATATAGCTGAAACTGAGCACACAGCTGATGCCAGACCTGGGCTCTATTTCATAAGGTCATAACACAGGTTGCTGAGATTCCTGATGCTTTTCCTCCTGAGCTCAAAGTAAACCATGTTTGAAAAATTGAGTAACTCTAAAGATGAGCTGACTTCACTGGGGAAATCCTTGTTCTTATTCAGAGAAGGACAAAGGGATGGCATACATTTGCAATAGCTCAGTTCTCCTCAACAAATATACACACCCAAGCCATGGTAGAGATATGGGACAGGTATGTCATCAGCAGGAACACTATTGGGTCTAGGCTTAAAATGTGATTATGGTGTCCAGCACCTGGCACAGAAGAGGTGTCTGACAGGGAAAAGGACAACTCAGAGGTTGGGTCTGGGTGGTTATTCATAGGGTTCCAGATCCAACTCCATTTAATTTTAACCAATCATCTTCCAAGAATTATAAGAGCCATCCTAAGTGCTGTTTGACACAGCATTTTAAAGAAACTGCATTTATATTAAGATAACCAACTCTAAGAAATATTTAAATAACATATTGATATTTTTCTTTATGACTTCCGACAGGGTCAATATTCATCCTCTAATGGGCCATGTTTTCAGTGCCCACCAGTGTGGATTCAGCATCCTGAAGTTGCATTTCCTGACTTTTTATTTCAGAGAGTATCATTAGCACTCTGTTATTTTCTCCCAAATTCTGATACATTATGATGAGCAAACTCACTTTTTTTCATAAACTCTGACAAATGGAAAAATATTGTAGACAGAATAAAAGCTTCTGTTTTGCCCTGACTTCCAGGAAGCTCTAAGCTAAATTAAATGTTCGATCTCAATGATTATTAGAATTTTTGCTTCCTCTACTTTTTGTTTGAATTTGGTTTTCTATTTCTATTTTTAAAGACTTACTTTATCATTAGCTTTCTGAAGTATATTTTGGATCTATTTCCTGGCTCTAGAGCCAAAATATTCAGCTGTCTACCATGTATCTCTGCCTGGATATCCCACAAGAACTCAAGCTCAAGACTACATCAAAATTATGCTTTTACTTTTCTTTTTAAGCAGACACATCATACTGCATCTCTGTCTGGATGAACATCGCCACCATTCACTCAGTTTCCCAAGCCACATATTTGGGAGAACTTTAGACACTTCCTTCTCTTTCACCAGCCACACTCAATCCACTACCATTCTGCTGAACTTGACTTTACTATTTCTCAAATCAGTTTCCCACTGTCCATGTGCAGGTCTTGCTGGATTACTGCAACTTCTCCTAATAAGTTCCTTTTCTCCAAACTATTTTTATTAATTAACCCAATAATTTCACTCACTATTTAAAATGTTTTACAGGCTTGTTCTGATGGTGAGGATGGATTTAGGCCCCCTTAGGTTTATTTTTCAGTTTGCTTTAGATTATAATTTATATTCCAGACATTTTGAATCATCTTCCATTTCACAATGGGAATTGATCTTAAATATATACAATCTCTGAGCCCCCTTCTTCTGGGTCAGTAGTCCTACTGTTAAATTTCTCAACAACTCTGACTCAACCAGAAATAACCATTGTGTTCTCAAAATAGAATGCCAGAGGAATAATACAATGCAGGCCTTTAAATTTGCTATTTTCTTTTCCTTGAATGGCATTTTTAAACTAAATTCACCTGTATCATTCTTCATCATTCTTTGAGACTCCACTCAAACATCACTGCTTCCTCTGGCATGGTTCTGTTTCTTGTCTCTCAGACTTGTGTAACTGCCTTGTATGTGAGCTTCCAGTGTATCCTACACATAGTTCTACCGAATCTTATCACTCCATGTTGTAATTGTATGTTACCTTGTCTGTATCCACCATGACAATCATCGCTAAATTTTAAATTTCTTAAAAGTAAGAACTGTTTTCCTCCATTTCATCATCAGAATCTAGAACAGTGACTATAACACAAGTGAACTCAATAGAAAGTTTGTCTGGGAATGAACAAATGAGAGCCTTCCTGAAAATCTGAGTTATAATAGGTGACTAAAAAATAACTGCCTTTAAAATATAAGGCCATACCAATTACAGCAGGTCATTGTTACTACTAACATAATTTTTTGTAAAGTAGTTTGTGTCTATGAATAGGCATGCAATTGATGTTATGATGTTCCTTCTGTGAATCACATGCAATTAACTGAACTTTGCTTTTTGACGTACCATATAGCAAAGCCTTAGAGGTACTCAATTGTGGGCTATGAAGATGTGGTCTTGCCTCAGAAGGTTATACTGTATCTGGATACAGGAGAAGACTCTATTTTACAGATAGGAAAACCCAGAGAATAAGTAACTTTCAGCAGGTCACTCAGGGAATAAGTGATAGGGTCGAGATTCAAATTTGAGCCCTCTGGTTCCAGATTCACCCTACGTTTCATTTCTACCAACTGTGAGATATTAAAGGGAAATCTCAAAATAACATCCACTTTAGCTCAACATTTTATTATATGAAAGCAATAGGAGGTTAGAGAAGTAGATGGAAAAGATATCATGAGAGAGCTAGGATTGGAGTTAGCCTGAAAGAATTGGCTGTGCATAAATAAAAAGGCATTCCAGCAGAGGAAAAGAGCATAAACTAAGATTCATACGTAGACAAGTCATGGGAAAACATAAAAAGGTAGGAGGAAGAAAAATATTAATTATTCAAAGATGATAATTGTTAAAACAGTCTTCATCTATTTTTTTCCAAAGTTTTTTTCTTCTAGATGCATAGATTGTTTGTTTTTCAAAATTGAGATCATGTTGTATGTCCAGTTTTGAGTCCTACTTTTTTAAAAAACTTGTGTGCTAACATAAGCATTTTCTTCTTAATATAAACTATTTGTAAACATTATTTTTAATGGTCCCATGATCATTAAAGAGATGCATGCTAGTTTAATTAAACATTTCCCTATTGTCAAACACTTGAAGTTGTATACACTTTTTTTTGGATTAGAAATAATGCTGTAAGAACTTCTTTGTCCATAAAACTTTTTTTTTCTATTTATTCTTAATTCCTTCAGATAAAATTACAAAAGTGCAATTTCTAGGTCTAAAGATATTAATTTACTTTTACTTTTTTCCTCCAGATAATTAAACTAATACTCCCTGGAACTAGGACATAAGTGGTAAGTTAAAGACCCTGGCCTCAGGAGTTTACTTTCTACAGTAAATATAAATAAATAAGCATAGATAAATAAACAAAATACAACAGGGAAAATGCTTTCATTGAAAGGCATATAAACAAAATCTGTGGGACCACAACAAAGAAAATGGCTGCCTCTGTGAGAGGTAAGAAAATGCCACAGAGGATGTGACTTCTGAAATATGTTTCTGTTAGTTTAATTTTTCTCTGACACTGTATTCTGAAGAGACAGCTGTTATTTCTGATTGTGTCAGAGCTGTTGACATATTTAAAGGTAGTGCTACCAATCCAGAAGAAGGAGATTAGAGATGATATATTTTAAAGATGCATTTGCCTGCCCTATTGGCTAAATTGGATAATCATTAATTCAAATTAATAAATACAAAGGAATGAGTTACCTAACCCCAGTTTGAGGAAGCTTAGTGATTTGCTGACATTTTTCAACTTTGTACCACTTTGAAGCCATTTCTTTCTATTTTGAAAGATTCTAGCAGCAGCAACTTGTCATAAACCATGATGAAAAGAATGGGAAAACCCCCAGGCTTCCAAATATTCTCTCCTTCATACCCACCATTATTAGTTTAATTAGGGAGTATTAGTTTAATTAGGGAGTATTAGTTTAATACTAATTAAAGGCCAGAGGTTTCCAGACTTCCTCAGTTTATGGCACCTTAGTGCCTCCATAATTGATTTCACGGTGTCTCTAAGCCAATGGAAATATCTAATTGTTCCATTTATCAAGTAGTTAGGGTAAATACATAAGTATTTATATCCTAACAGCATAGTAGCCACTTAAAAACTCATGTATATTAGTTGAAAGAAAAAAATTGTATTTTATTCTCAAATAACCATAATTATGTAGGAATGGGATGCGTGGGCCTGTACAGAGCTTTTCGAACCTTGGAATCTAATTGAACACTGTCATCCTTATTTCCTGTTCCACATTGATATCCATGCAATACTTGCTTTTTGTTATAGTAACCACCAAAAGCACTGCTTTACAGAGATGTGAGGGTGTGTTTCTGGTGGGAATGTAAAATGGTGCAGCTGCTGTGGAAAACAATACGGCAATCAAACTAATTAAACATAGAATTACCATATGATCCAGGGATGCCACTTCTGGATATATACCCAAAAGAATTGAAAGCAAGACAAATATTTGTACATTCATGTTCATAGCAGCATTATTCACAATAGCCAAAGGGTGGAAGCATTCCACATATCCATCAATAGCTGAATGAAATGGCTGGGCACAGTGGCTCATGCCTATAATCCCAGCACTTTTGGAGGCCAAGGTGGGTGGATCACCTGAGGTCAGGAGTTTGAGACCAGCCTGACCAACATGGTGAAACCCTGTCTCTACTAAAAATAGAAAACTTAGCCGGCCCTAGTGGCAGGCACCTGTAATCCCAGCTACTTGGGAGGCTGAGACAGGAGAATCACTTGAATCCGGGAGGCCGAGGTTGCAGTGAGCCAAGATAGCACCATTGCACTCCAGCCTGAGTGACAAGAGTGAAACTCCATCTAAAAAAAAATAGCTGAATGAATAAACAAAATGCGGTATGTCCATATAATGGCATATTATTCTGCCACAAAAAGGAATAAAGTACTAATACGTGCTGCAACATGGATGAACCTTGAAAATGCTATGCTAAGAAAATAAGTCAGATGCCTAAGGGCAAATATATAATTTCACTTATATAAGGTACCTAAAATAGTCAAATTCAGAGAGACAGAAAGTAGAATAATGGTTATCAGGGGCTAGGGGAAGGGAGAATGGGGAGTTATTGTTTAATAGGTACAGAGTTTCAATTTGGAATGATGAAAAAGTTCTCCAGATGAGTGGAGGGGATGGCTGCACAAAAAAATATAAATACACTTAATGACACTGACCCGAATACTTAAAAATGATTAAAAGGAAAAGAAGTCATTATCTGAAAAATACACTTGCACACACGTTTATAGCAGCACAATTCACAATTGCAAAAATATGGAACCAACCCAAATGCCCATCAATCAATGAGTGGATAAAGAAACTGTGGTCTATACATACAATGGGAATACTACTCAGCCATTAAAAGGAATGAATTAATGGCATTCACAGCAACCTGGATGTGACTGGAGACTATTATTCTAAGTGAAGTAACTCAGGAATGGAAAAACAAACATTGTATTTCTCACTCATAAGTGGGAGCTAAGCTATGAGGATGCAAAGGCATAAGAATGATACAGTGGACTCTGGGGACTCGGGGGAAAAGGTAGGAAGAGGGTAAGGGATAAAAGGCTACAAATTGGATTCAGTGTATGCTTCCCAGGTGATGAATGCACCAAAATCTCACAAATCACCACTAAAGAACTTACTCATGTAATCAAATGCCACCTGTTTCCCCAAAACTATGAAATTTTAAAAAACGGTCAAAAGGCAAATTTTATGTACATTTTACCCCAAGGGAAAGAAAATATGATGACATCAAAGGGCATGTGATGCAGTCTGTTGTTGAAGGGCGAGCTGCTTTGAGCTAGCAGTTTGCATGGGGTCTGACGGATGTCGAGTATCACTATATTTCCCTCAGTAATTTACAATATCCAGTGGCACACCTGTGAGTTTGCTGCAGTGCCTTGGGGTACTTTAGCACACTTTTTGGGAGCCAGAGCTCAAAGCCATGCCCTCTACCTTAGAGCTTCTTCCTTACCCCACCAAATCATTACAGACAAAAGAGCTTGGAAGGAGCCTGTACCGCTTAGTCATGCTGCTGACTAACTCTGTGACCTGGGAAACTAACCTGGCCTCTCCCCAGTTCAGCACCCTCTTACAATGAAGATAATATATCCCACACCTCTTTACAAACTCTGAAGTACCAAAGAAAAGCTACTGTTATGTTCTATATGTCACTCAGAGGACTAAGAAGAAGTGGAGGTTTTCCACTGCTCTTAGGTGAAAATCCTCAAAATGGCAAGTTAGATCCCACCTCCCTCACCAGCCTCTGTGCATCATCCATGTCACCCTCATCTGCTCCACTCCAGCCCCTCCAATCATCTTTCACTTCCCTCTGCTTCTAGTCCTTCCCGTCTTCCCCCTCCAGGGTCTTTCCCCATGCTATACCTTCTACCTAGAAAACTTTTCCCCACCCGACCCTCTTTACCTAAGGAATACCTGCTTCTCCTTCAATCCCCATTAAATGTCACTGCACCCAACTGTGAAACCTTCTCTGATGTTCCAGACTAGCTGACTGGGTAGTTCACTTTTTTACGGCCATTTTTTCATTTGTCTTCCTTTCTAGGCTATAAGCTCTTTGAGGGCAGGCACTACGTGTCCTTTCCACCATGCATCCCATCCCCAGTGCCTGACACAGCTCCTGGAACGTAAGAGCTGCTCAGAAAATATTAGGTGATCCTCATTCACAGGAAATGTCAGAATTTGCACAGGAGAAGCTGACATAAAGAAAAGAGCCAGATGGAGTGCACTGCGATGAGCTAATTTCTCCCTCATTCATCTCAATGCTTTGTCTTCTCTTTTCTTTCTTCTTTCTTAATTCTTAATATCTCCTCCTCTCTCCTTGTGGTACTTACCACTCTCATACTAGGGACTGATAAGAAAGTGTAGTTCTTTTCTGATTATCCTGAAGAGGCAGAAGAGGCTTCTTCCATATTTTCTTAGGGACAAAAGGATGAGAATTTATATGTTTAAAAAGTGTCTTTGGACACAAAAAAATTCAGCCCTGTCTCTGCTCTCTCTCCAAAGCATGAAAAAGCTTTTGGCTTTTCTCTGTGTTAATCTCCACATAAAATCTTTGGTAGCAGTACTGGGTTCTCCTTCTCTTAAGCTCCACTGATATCAGGAACTACCTAGGCAAAATTCTTCCCTTATTATTGAGAGCCTACTATGTGCAAGGATTGGGCAAATCACTTTACTCACATGAAGACTACCTCTTCATAAGAGCCCTGCAACAGACGTATCATTATCGCTATTTTACTCATAGGGAAATTGACTCTCAGGAGTAGTTAAATGATGTTCCTAAAGCTACACAGCCAATTTTGTCCTTAGTGTAGCAGGACATCCTTTTATCTCCCCCTTCCTCCTTGCCCCCACCTTCATGCTTATCCCATTTCAGCATTTAGAAAAAGAAACCACACACACGCACACATTGCAAGTATTTTCCCTAAGGAACCCAACTCATTTTCTTGGGCACTGGGCTTATGTAGAGCTGAATGCCTATGATTTTGTCTGCCGCTTAACTGAGATTAGCTGGAAGCAATCTGCTTAAAGTTTAAGCATCAACTTATCACTTTCTTAACTGTGCATTCGTTTTCAAGGGGATGGTTAACTTTAATGGGAATGGGGGATTGAATCATGTGGCAACAGGTTCTGTGACATGTGGGAGCCAGAAGGGAAGTGAGAGACCTTCCCCATCAGATGTTGTATGAAGGGGGATCTGTTGTAAAAGTCTGGATTAATTTTCTGCCTGCAATTTCCTTCAGGGTATAGGTAGGAAGACACCGACTCTGTCATCCTGTAATTGGCATCAAACATTCACTCTATTCATGAGGCAGGGCAGTGCCTGAAAACAATGAAGTAAGGGAGGAAACAAGGTCAAAATTCCTCAAAGCCAACAGAGACACAGATGGTGCACAGGCTCTCAGAATTTGCTTGCTGGAAGTAATCTTCACAGTCATTCGGTCCCCTCACTTCACTCCACAGAAGAGAAAATGGAGGTCGGGCACAGTGGCTCATGCCTGTAATCCCAGGACTTTGGAAGGCCAAGGCAGGTAGATCACCTGAGGTCAGGAGTTTGAGACCAGCCTGGCCAATATGGCGAAACCCCGTCTCTACTAAAAATGCAAAAATTAGCCAGGCGTGGTGGCATGCACCTGTAATCCAAGCTCCTTGGGAGACTGAAGCAGGAGAATCACTTGTACCTGGGAGGCAGAAGTTGCAGTGAGCCGAGATCATGACACTGCACACCAGCCTGTGCAATAGAGTGAGACTCCACCTCAAAAAAAAAAGAAAAAAAAAAAAGAAAACTGAGGCCCAGAGAGGAATGGTAACCTGTCCTACAACATGCAGCAAGTCAGAGCTAGACTAGAATAGAGAAGATTTGTTTCACCATTTTTGACCTTCCAAGAGTCTCTTGACTTCCTAGGGGCAACAAAGTGCAACTTGCTTAATACCATTAACCGAAAGCCAGCCTTCTGGACCTTTAAAAAAACTTTCTTTGCTTTCATGAACATGTGGTTTTACATTTTCTCCAAGAAAAAGCAAAACTTTTCTCTGAGAAAGTTAATAGGCTCACAACTTCTTGAATTACCATGATTTTTTTTCTCCCTATAATTGTTACTCACTATAGTATAACATCTCTTTTTTTGTCATATGTCCTTATTAGGTAGGGAAGACCTAGGAACTTTAACTTAGTTGATGGGTGGAGCAAACAGAAGTTAAAAGACTGCTATGAGAAATCCTATAAATTCAGAAAAGTCAGCCTGGCTGAGAATCTGGTAGCTTCAGTCTTCATTCTGTTAGCTGAATTAACAATTTTTTCTTGCTTGGCATTTTAGAGGTGCCAAGATCTGGCTCACAGCCAACCTTCTCTTACAGGGAGTCCATTCTAGGCAAGGCAAGGTTTCTTTCCTGGCACCTCCAATTTATTATGCCCATTCATAAAATAAATGCTGAGCCTCTACTATGCATGTGACATTGCCCAATATTCTGGTAATACAAAGATAATTCCTAGTGGCCAGCTCGCAAAAGGTCTAGTATAAAGTAGGATCTTTTAGTCCACAGGTAGGGATCCATTTGTAAGTCATGAAATAAGTTTAGTAGATCATAGTCAGCATTTTCTTTTAACGAAATTGTGGTAGGTTGTTGCAGTCACGATCGTCGATTAGTTCCTGCCTCCATGTGACTCACTGGCTAGTGGAAAAATAGTTAAGTGTGACAGAAGCAGATATTTGAAAAATGCTTCAGCACTGGAACTTGTCCTCTCTTGCTGCTCTTGAGAACTCTGAGACCATTGCCATGCAAATAAACATGGGCCAGTCTGCAGAAAAAGAAAGACACACAGCCCACCCAGTCATTTGTACCAGAAACTGCAAATCTACCACCAAATATATGAGTGAAGCCCATACAGGACAAGCTAACCTCCCCCAACCCCACCAGCCAAGCCACCAAATGACCACAGATGTGTGAACGAGCCCAGCTGATGAGCTGAGACTAGCTCATTCCTGTACAGGGTTTTTCAGCATTCCTGGCCTCTACCCACTGAAACCAATAGTTTCCACCACCTCAGCTGTGAAAACCAAAATATCTTCAGACATGATCAAATGTCTCCTAAGTTACAAATTACCCCCAGTTGAGAATCACTGGTTTAGGGAATCCATCCAACAAAATCATGAGAAAAATAAATGATTGTTTTTTAAGCCACTAAATTTTAGGAGTAGTCTGTTACATAACAAAGATTATCTGATACAGGAATAGAATAGAATAGAGTAGAATAGAATAGAATAGAATAGTTCAGGAAGCATGACACTTGATAATGATAAGTACTATTTTATAAAATAATATTATGTGTGTACTGGGTTATGATGTAAAATATATTCCTCACTCTGGGTTATAGTCAGAAAAATCTGAAAGCCCTCTGGATTTTAAAGGGAAAGGCATGGAGCTGGATTCTTGCCCCAGTTCTGATACCTAACAGTAATAGTAGATTTTTTTTTCTAACGTCTCTAAGCCTTACATTTCTTCTCTAAGCAAACCAGCCTACCTGAAAGTTAGCTGTGAGGTATAAATACGTACAAGTGTGTTTTAAAGTTAGAGCTACAAAAATATTCATGAAAGCCATCATTATTTGGCTCTGTTTGTTTTCTTATATGTCCTCCCTTTCCCTGAAATGCTCTCCACCCCCCTCCTTCTAGTCAAACTTCATCCATGATTCAAGGTGCTCCGCTCAGGCTCCATTATGCCCATGAATCTGGTTGGTATTTATTAAGTGTGCTCAATGTCCACTCCTCAGATGTCACTTTGGCACTTAAAATATTTCAGTTTAGCACTCAGTTCCGTTCTATTTTGTTCACATATGGTACATGTTTTAGCTTCTCTCCCTACAAAGACTGCAAGCTTCCTGGAGGCAGGGGCCATGTTACAGCCTGTTTGCACATTGAGCAGAACATTTTCTTGGACACCTGATAGGTCCTCAGAAGGACTTATTCACTTACTGATTCTCATTGAAATGGCACAATGCTCACATTCTTTCCATTTTATGGATTTTACCTTCAGCAGACCACAGTCTCCTCTGTAAATTAGTCTGCTCCTTATAGGAATCCCGAAAGTCCCTTCTGGGGTTTGAGCCATCACCCAGCTCCACCTGTGTAATTAGTACTGAAGAATAGGAGCAGAATAACAGCACCATGCTGAGTGTTTGGGGTATCACCAGATAAGCCACCTCCTAAGAGGAATGTCACCTACCGGGAAAGCAGCAGCTACCTGTGATAACTGTGCTTTTCAACTAAAGAAGACCTGGGACACCTGACCTCCTCCTTGGTCACAAGCCCTGAGTCAGGCAATTATAGTGCAATGACTTCACACCCAGCAGAGGTGGTATGCAGCCCCCACGATCCACCTGTTTAATTCCTGCACTTCCCAAAACAAGCATCCCATGCTGGAAAGACATCTTCAGTAGGAGGCATCCTTGTTGCTGTTGGTTCTGTAAGGCTGTGTCTGGATTTCCTCTCTGGCACACTACTTTCTGCCTCCCCAAGTCTCTCCATGTGACTGACCCTGCTGGGGCAGATGGCAGGTCTAGGCAGAGAGGAGTATTTACCGTTTGTTATTAGACTATTAGCAAGCACAGCCTGTTAATGCTCCCTGATTGATTTCCGAATGTTTTTCCTTCTGTTGAAACTTAGCTACAGAGGATGGTGTGAAGAGACAAAATGTTTACTTGGTTCCTTATCCCAAAATCTGCTAGGAAAAGCCATAGGAATTTATTAAATAAGTTCCCTGGTAGGGAAATGCAAAGCCGACTCTACCTTCCCTGGAAATCACATTCTCAGGAAGAGGTAGCATATTTGAAAAGAAAGCACCCTGGGCTTGGGGCCTGAATATCGGAGCTTGAAGCCTACTTACTTCCAGTAACTGGTTCTCTTTCCAGCTGCCAAGGTTCTGTGACTTTGGACAACTCACTGAAGCCCTCAGTGTCTGTTTTCTCCCCAGTAAATAAGGATAATAATCTCTCTCTCTCAAGGCCATTGAGGTTTACATAAAATGCTCTGTGGAAATTTCTGAGTAAACGGAATCATTTGGTAATATCAATGCAATGAAATAGACCTTTTCCATGATTAGTAATTCTGGAAATGTTTGGGAAAACATGGCTCCCCTCTCCCTCCCTCCGTACTAAAGGGCTTGGCACCAAATAGGCCAACTCTCAGAGAAAAATGGAATTTGACTTTGTTTTCTTTGAAGAAGGCAACTAAAAACCACTCCTGGTTTCCTTCAAGAAATTAAAAAGAAAAAAAAACTATACTGAAAGATTTTAAGTTAAAGGAGAATACTTTTCAACATGGAGGTCTTAAAAATAGAAACTAATACTCAATAATAATAGACATATATGGCACTTTACAGTTTACAATGGTAGGTTCTCTGGAGGCTTCTAAGAGTAGAGTTGGTGGCGACAGCTCCAGAATTCACTCACTCAAAAAAAGTTTACTGAGTATGCACCATGTGAAAATCAAAGTTCAGACCCTCAGGATACAGTGTGGAAGAGGGCAAGCAAACCCTGTCCTCATGGAGCTTACATACTGCTAGAAGACAGGCCAACAAGAACTGAGAAACAAGACCATGGAATAGAATGCCAAGTACTGATAAGTGCTATGGGACAAATAAAATGAGATAATTGTATAGATACTGTATTATAGAGAATAAAGGTGGGGTGCCCCTTTAGAAAGGATGATTAGGGAAGAACTTTCTGAGGCACTGATGTTGGACCAGGGACTTTAACGAAAGAAGGGAGAAATACACATACACACACACACATACGTGTGTATATACCCCATATATAGTGTGTGTTTATATCCCATATATATGTATATATGAATATATGTATATTATATATATGGTTTGTCTGTGTGTGTGTATATATATATACACACACACACTCTCTCTCTCTGACACACACACACATATATGGGATATATACTCACACAGCCATATTTATGGTTTGGCTGTGTCCTCACCCAAATCTCATCTTGAATTGTAGTTCTCATAATCCCCACGTGTCATGGGGATTATGGGAGGGACCCCATGGGAAGTAATTGAATAATGGAAGTGGTTTCCCTCATGCTGTTCTCATGACAATGCATGAGTCTTACCAGATCTGATAGTTGTTTAAGTGTCTGGCATTTCCCCTGCTGGCACTCATTCTTTCTCCTACTGCCCTGTGAAGAGGTGCCTGCCACCATGATTGTAAGTTTCCTGAGGCCTCCCCAGACATGCAAGACTGTGAGTCAATTAAACCTCTTTCCTTTATAAATTACCCAGTCTCAGTTATTTCTTCTCTTCAGAGCAGCATGAGAATGGACTAATACAGTAAATATATATATATTTGAATTTCTGGGAAGAATGTTCCTAAATGAAAGTATATGCAAAGATCCTGAGGAAAAAATATGCTTGGTATGTCTGAGGAATAAGGCAATTCCGACTCACTCTTGTTCAGATTAAATGCTTTCCCAAGAGCCTTTCCAGCATTGTTTATGTCTCCCTAAAAGAGATTTTAATCTCTTAATTTTAGTATTTTAATTATTATTTATTCATTCCTTATGGGTAATATAACAGCAACATAAACTTTGCATTCAAGTGGAATGGCATTTCCAGTCAAAGCTGACTGAGTTCAGCATGTCAGCTGTTTCAAATAAGGTCTAGGAACTCCGAAAGAGCATTTGGAACTGTTTATCCCAATCAGACCTCCTGAGGCCTCAATGCTCCCTATTTATCTTCAGAGCTAACTGGGAAGAAGTGGCTGGTCCTGTAAAAGCTGTGGTGAAAGGAGTCACAGACGGCCTTCTCAACACACTGCAGGACTCCTGAAACATTACCAGCAGAGAAAGAGTTGGCTGCAGAACTGAGAGAGTTGGAAGGGAACAAAATGGATAGGGTTTGCTGGATGTGGGGAATGCACATATACTTGCTTTCTAGTTGTTTTCATATGCAATGGAAATCCACTTGCACAGCTTACTCCTCTCTGCATATGGAGCTGAGCATCTCATCAATAGTCTGCTTTGCTTCCCAGAGCAAATGCTCATGAAGCTTAAGCTGGCCTTGCTTTCCTGTGCCACCTGAGTCACCTGTTCTGTGCCACTTGGTACCAGAGGAGTGAAAACAGTCAGTATCCCTTGACTGTTTCAAAGTTAAACCAGTTAATGGGACTCTCCTATTGTCTTCATGTCCCATTTTAGAGGGAAACCTATCATGAATGAGACTCCATTTACCTTTCCTCTTGGGAACCCAGAGGACAACTATCCTGTGCCTACTCAGGACCGTGGGGTTTGTCATGATCCCAAGTGGTGGCAGGAAGGAAAAACACAAACGAGAGAGAAAAGGAGTTAGAATCTCTTGCCTCTTGCTCAGCTTCTGTTGAATTGCTCTGGTTCTCCACTCCTATCCCATCAATCCAATAACTGAGATTTCCACATAGGAAGATTTGAAAAGCAGAACATTTTATCATTTTCTTCTCCTTAGATTTGCCCATTGTCAAATTTCTGCCAATTACAGCTAGGTGCTATGTATAAGATGCCCCTCCTGCTTCCTAGGCCATGCCTCTTTCTTGCCAACCCTTCTTTATGCTGCCATACAACTACCTCCTTTCTCCAGAGAATCTGTCTGTCTAGAGGTCAGAGTCAGGGATAGGCTAGGCACACTCCTAAAACAGACTGAATGAATTCCTAGAGCCAGGCCACATGGGAAAGCTCTGAATGTCTTTTCTCCCCACTAGCCAATGTGAAAGATACAGATTTCCCTACAAGACTGATGACTGGCTGAATTTTCCCATAAAAGGTCTCTTCATCCCCAGTCATCATTCTGCTAAGAATGGTCAACTATCCGTCATCTGCTAGATGTAATATCTGTTCTGGGAAAGAGGAAAATACGGGCTCTAAGCCTGGCTCTCTGTAGATGAACCATGTCTTCATCTGGGGTCTCAGCTGCCTCATTTGTAAAAGAAGTGTATTTAGAAACACCCAATTCTGATTGGAGTAAATCAGAGGTTTTCAAATCATGTTTCTCAGAGGCACAGGACTCTGCTGGTGCTTTCTGCCCTCACTTCAACCAGAGCAAAGCCGTCTATCACTCCTATATCTTGGGCTTCCACATGGGATTTCATTTGTAAGAAATTTCATTAAAAGAGTTTAAAAACCACTGGATAGATGAGCTCTAAGCTGCAAAAATAGAGGATGCCTGGCACCAGAGAACACTCTGAGGAGGCAATGGTTCCATGGCCAGTTATCTTTGCATGGCTGTGGATAATGATACTGTTCTCAAAGTGTGGTCCCCAGACCAGCATCTTCAGCATGACCTGGGAACTTGTTGGAAATACAGCTTCACAAACCTCACTCCATATCTCCTAAATCAGAAACCCAAGGGGTAGGGTACATCCATCTGTGTTTTCACAAGTCCTCCAAATGATTCTGATAGATGCTAAAGTTTGAGCACAACTGCCTCAGAGCAGTAAACTCAACCCAGTTTTGCCAGATCCCTTCCAACTCTCCTTTCTTTCACTTTGTCCTTGTGTTTTCAAGGCCACAGAAGACACTCATTTCCAGCTCCTGGAAGCATGCCAACTCTGCTTCCAAAGGTGAAAAGCTAGCATCCTAAAAGCTGACCTGCAGGGATACTAAGGCTGTGGGAAGGAGGCAGGGAGGGAACTTTGTAATTGCCTCCAACCAAAAGGTTGGTTCCTTTCTGCAGCTGCCTCCAGGACACCAGAGCTCTCCCGAAGGAGGTGCCTCACTTATTAACATCATAACTCAAGTAAGTTGCTTGGAGTCACCGCACATGGAAAATTGCATTCTGCAAAGTGTTGAAGCTGCAAAGTCACCAGCTGAGTCGATAGACTTTTATTTTAACGATGTTTGTGATCAATATTTAAGCAGGATTGACCGAGGCTGCTGCTAGTGCACCTCTCTTCTTCCAGCTGCTTGTGAAAGATAAAATATTTACTTGGGGAGGGTGGGGATGTTACAATGGTTTGAGGCCAAGGGGGGAGTTTCAGGGTAGTGTAGAGCAAGAGTGCCACAGGATGCATTAGCATCAAGCTCTTATGGGCCTGGAATCTCTGAGGGCCAAAGCAGCTTTTGTTTAGACATTCTGGGCAGGTTATGAGAGAATGAGAAGAGAATTTATGGAAAGATTTGGTCACTAGTAGTATAAACATTCAAGTATTAAGAAATTTTCTTGAAAATAGTCATGGTGTATTTAATCGTGCTTTTACTGAAACCTAACTACAATTACTAGCCAAGCACTTAGCTCTAATTCAGACAACTAAAGAGTAACCCTACCTACTGTGTTTCCATGGACATGTTATTAATACCCCTGAGTCTCACTTTTCTCATCTGTAAAATGGTTCCTCATGAAGTTGTAAAGAATAAATAAGACACAATATAAAACAGTTGAAATATTGGCTCTCCATAGTATGTGCTCAATGACTATTAGGAAATTATTGGTAGAGCTCAAAATCCAGGTCTACTTGTCTCAACACCATAATTTTAAAGACCTATAGGATCAATGCACAAAATTAGGTAACATTTTGGAACACGGTATGATTAAGTCCTGGGGTGTATGATGCAGTCTCTATTAAAGGAAGTCTGAAAGAAGAGAAACTAGAAATGGCTAGAGAAATCAGGTAAAACTATATGGAGAAGATCTAGCTAAAGTTATACCTAAAAAGGCCAAAAGGACAATTGAGAAAGACAATGGGAGAATGGCTTATATGGATATATCATGTATAGATGTGACCCTGTGAGCAACCTGTTGAATCTGAGGCACATTTGCACATGTCAGTACATAGGAAAAGTTAAAAACCCAATGAATAAGATACCCTGGAAAAAGTGTGATCTAAGGAGAGGAAGATGGCATCCTGCTTTCAAAGTATGGGCAATGGAAAGGAACCCATACTGGGGGCTGGGCAGAGATTAGTGAGGTGAGACAGGGTGACCAACCCATTCCACTTTGCCTGGAAGCTTCCATCTTAGCACTAAAAATCCTGAGCACCAGAAACCCCTCGGTTTTAGACACCCCTAAACTCTGGGCAAGCCAGGATGGTTGGTCACTCTATGATAAAGAAGCAGGGAAAGACATTCTTTCTAAAGTCAAAGGAGGCAAATTTCCATGGAGGAGAGAATGATCAACAGCATCCAAGGCAAGAGAGATCTAACCTGAGAAGAGCCCATTGGATAGGAGGTCACTGGGGGCAGGATAAGGAATGCTGTGATGCCATAGGGTAGTCTCTAGGCTGGACATTGTATGCCATGAGATGCCTCTTCAGCAGAAGAATGGATTACAGTCATCTCTTAAGAACATGATTTGTCTTATAACTTTTTTAGAGCGCAAGAAAAATGGCCTAGTCCAAAACCAAGCACGCACACCCCTGAGGTGCAGTTTGTGGAGCCTGTTTGTTCAGCATTCCCTACCTCTGGTGCAAACGGTTGAGCAGCTCAATACACCAGTCTCTGGTGTTTGGTTCATAATGATTCTGATGTTACATGGATGGTCAAATGACTGACTTTGCCATTGATCGTGGGAGCCTGAGATGTGGATGATGGATTGGGCCACTTGAGCAGCTGCCTGTGGGAAGTCTGATTTTGTTCAGATGAGCTGCTCCAGACAACCTCTCCTCCCGCTTCCTCTCTAACCCTCTGTTTCCGGCTCTCGCTCTCTGTGTCTCTCACGGAATCCCTTACTTCTGGACTTTTTTCCTTCCTTCCTTCTACCGTTCTTCCCTTCCTCCCTTTTTGCTTTATTTTCTTTTTTCCGTTACTTGATTCTCTCTTCCTTTCTCTTTTTCTCCCTTTTCCCACTTATCTCTTTTTCTTCTTCTGGCTTAATTCTTAAGGCCCATTTTCATTTAACTGGGACTTGGCAGGAGGAGGGTACAAAAAGCATTAAAATACTTTCTTTCGAAGCAAGGGCTAGAATCCAAAAGTCCTCTTAGCACATCCTGGGACTCAGAACCGTATCTACTCTGGTTGTGGCCTAGGGAATTGCCTATATCACAGGAAGAGAATGTCTTCCTCTTACCTGCATTCCTGAGACTGGGCTTCTGGGACAGGCCACACTGAAGGTGACAGGGAACTCAATCACTTTCTAACTGAATAATTTTTTCCAAGGTTCAGGAAACGGTATCTGATAGCTTTAGCCTCACAGACCCTTCTATTACAGGAGACTGAAGGACTCTATTTCAAGGATGCAAAACAGATGCATATAGAAGATGAGCTGACTTTAGTTACTATTTGAAGAGTTGAACTGAAGCCAGCATGGATTATTTTAAAAGCACAGATAATATTTTTAAAGTCAAATCAGTCTGGATCTTATTAAACGTGACTCTCTCCATGTGTGTATGAGTAGGCAGTGGATGTGGATGTGTGTCTAGATGTTTTTATCCCTCTAAAATTCTGTGAAGTCATCTCTCCACCAGCATATAGGATCAACTTCTATGCTTTAGATCTCCCTCATCAGAAACCACAGGCTAACTTTAAGGGCCCAAGCTCAGATGAACTCTGCTTTTCCTTAGAAGTCTCAGTGGATGTCTTGGGGCGTGTTTGAGTGGGGATTGCAGGTTTTTCAGTGTGTCTCTTGTGAGATCAGAGATAAGAAAACTGAAACAAAAATTTGATTTGATTTGCAACACACATTGTGCTGCCAATGGCAACAAGCCACACATGCTGTCATGGATGCAGAGTAATTCTGTCCTGTCTGGATTGCTTTTATAGCATCACTTTCCCTCCATTCCCCACACAGACTATCCAGACACCCTCCTAGTGCATTTGTGTCTGTATCTATATGAGTCTACAAACTACAAAATTATGCATATAATATAAGCTCATTGGGGAAAACGTATTTTAAGAGCAGTGTTCTTTACAATAAAATTGATTTGGGATTCTTTTTTTTGCCCATGCAAATTCTTTATTGCATACACGTGTGGCCCTTTTCCCCCCAAAAAAACCAAACACATTTTCACTGTGAATTAATCCCATCTCACATGTTTTACTCACCCCCTTCCTCTCACTTGTATAACTGCCTTTCATGAGTAATACACCTTAGTCTCTTCTACCTTGACAAAACCTTTGGGGCAACTTTTAGAAATACAGATGGTTCCTGACTTATGATGTTTCAACTTAGGATTTTTTTTTATTTTATAATGGTGTGAAGCGATGTGCATTCACCGTGCTCCTTGACTTATGATGGAGTGATGTCAGGATGTCAGGATGTAATGCTGTTGTGACTCCATCCGAACATAACCTCATCATAAGTTGACGGGCATCTGTACTGCAATATCTAATCCTCCTTCACTGAGACTCAAAGCTGGTCACCATTTCCTCTTTCTTTTTCTCAGTCCTGCCTGTGTCTACCCTCTAAGATGTAAGATTCAATCTGGGTCCTTCTTGCCTATAATCGTTTCCTTCGAGAAGCTTCATTTCTGAGGATGTTGACCAAAGACACCATGAAAATTGTTCTCACAACTCCATTGTAACCTTCTACATTTCCAGCTACATACAGGATTTTTAAACTAAATTATTATGTCCCCAAATTACTGTTTAAAATCAAGCCTAATGTGTTTTCCTTTCAAATTGATTTTTCATTCTTTATTTCTCAAATCTCAAATTCATTAAACCATGACACAGCCATTTCATTCCTCTACTCCCCCGTGTCTCCTCAGTTGCTGAAGACTGCCAGTGTTTTGCTCCAAAGACTCACATTTTTCCTTGCTCTCCAATCCCTCAGTCAATGCATCCTCATCAATTTATTCCTAGATTTGTGCAACAGATTCTTGGTCATTTCCTCTGCTCAGTTGTCTCTGGTTGTCCACTCCCATCTCTAACATTACTGACAAAAGACTCTGCCAAATTTCATTTCAGCATTTGACTCTTGCTTAAGAGACCAGAGCATTGTCATCACTAACTGGGTCAGATCCAAATTTAAAATCCTCTCTTATCTGGACCCAATTCTGTCCTTTATCTCTTTAGTCATATTCATCTTCATGCAATACCTTAGTCACTTACACCTTTTCACTCCTGAGGTCTCCACCAATGCAATTTCTCTCACTTAAATGATCTCTTATTCTCCACCAATCCAAATTCCATATATCCTTAGAGTTTAATTCAAACCTCATAACCCAAATGAAGCAAACTTCCAGATCACTTTACCCTTCAGTGTTCTTTGAGTTGTAGTTTTCTCAGCACATTTATTGGGACACTTATGCATATGTTTATGCATATGGTTTTTTCCATATATATTCCAGTTGTTTCATTTCTTATTTCCCTCAGTGCATATTAATCAACCTAATAAACCAGACCTTGTTAAAATTTCCAAATAGTCAAGTGTAATACCTTGAAAATAAGAGATACAAAAATGACTGCTTGTTGAACGGATCAATCATATTTTGGAAGAGGGTGCTGTATTAACATCTATCTGTAAGTGACAGAAGCTCAACTCAAACTGACTTAGGTAAAGAGGAAATTTAATGGCTCACGTCTTAGGAAGCTTCAGAGGGGAACGTAGCCATCAGAACTAGGTTCCACACTCTCAGCCTTGGCTCTACTCTCCTTCATGGTGGCTTTACTATCAGGTAGAGCCTCTCTGTGAATGGCCCCATCAGTTCAGGCTTATGACTTTCCAGCTCCAAGCCTATCAGAAAGATACAGTTTCTTTCAAATGATTACCCTGGGGTTAGTTTGTATTGAACTGACATGATTATGTCCCAATCCTTAAACAGCTCATCATGGCCTACAAAATGAGGACTGTGCTGACTAGCTGGGGCTGGTTCACATATTTACTCCTGAGCTCATAAAAAGGATGAGGGCATTTGATGTTCTGCTTGGCCAACCAGTCCTGCATCATTTGCCTCCTTCTAAAGCCACCCACCCAAATGACAGGAACTAAGGATGGGGAAGGGTTTTTTCCTGAGTAAGTCATGGTTTTGTGGGGTTTTTTTGTTTGTTTGTTCATTTTTGTTTTTGAGACGGAGCCTCGCTCTGTTGCCAGGCTGGAGTGCAGTAGTGTGATCTTGGCTCACTGCAACTTCCGCCTCCTGAGTTCAAGTGATTCTCCTGCCTCAGCCACCCAAGTAGCTGGGATTACAGGTGCGTGCCACCATGCCCGGCTAATTTTTGTATCTTTTAGTAGAGATGGAGTTTCTCCACATTGGTCAGGCTGGTCTCAAACTCCTGACCTCAGGTGATCCACCTGCCTCGGTCTCCCAAAGTGCTGGGATTACAGGAGTGAGCCATCGTGCCTGGCCCTGTGGTTTTGTTTTAACAAGAGAGGGAAATGGATGCTAGATAGGTAAAAGCAACAAGTGCCCATCACAGGAGATAATTCTTCATTTATCATGTTAGGATATACTGCTGGGCACTCGGGAAAGAGGAAAGTAGGTCCAAGGGTGGACAATTAAAGATAAAACATTAGTTAGTAAGTGGTTTTTACCTACTCTCACATAATAAATGGAGATGCTGGCTATGGGCAGAATTCCATTCTCTGCATGTGCTCTGCTTTCCTGTCAGGCCTGCCTTCATTCATTCTCCATGGTGAAGAGAAACCAATTCCGTTCAGTATTAAAATGTTGTCAAATTTTACTGTAACCTCAGAACAGAAAGAAAACACAAAATAGATAGAAAGCCAATCATTCTACAAGAGTTCTTATAAAAGAAAAATAGACATTTCTTTGCAGATTTAAAAAAGATTCAGGTGAGTCAGATCTGTAAAATGAAACAAGAATAGCCCTAACATGTAATTAATATTTATTAAGTTTTTAATACAACAGATATCATGGAGGTGAAAGGCTGATTATTGGTTCAAATTTCCTTGCATAAAACTTGACCTTTCCCTGCTGGGAGACTTTCCAGCTCTCTACACAAAGATAGTGCTATGCAATTCCCATGCCTATGAGGTGGAGTAATTGGTTTTGAAAGAAAGAAATCCAAACTATGCCTTTTTCTTTTTCCCCTTAATAGAACGAACAAATGCATTGATCTATTCTTCTTGCTCTGTTTCTGTATCATACAAATTCAAGACAGCTTGGCAGGAGGCAAAATGTCTGGGTTCCCAATTGTGTCACCAAATTGGCCCATTAACCACATTTCAGTTTTCTTTTTTCCAGTTGTTGGTGGCCTTCGCTCTCTAAGTGAAAACTAATATCGTTCCTTCACATGGGGCTCCTTAATGACACTGGGAAGCAGAGTGGCGACTTCTCATATTAGAGCAATTTGTTCAAAGCCCGAAGGAGCTCTGCAGCAACTTCATCAAGCCATTTTCTTCTTCCCCAGTCAAATAGTGCAGGCAATGAGATTTGGACTAGCTGCCCAAGTTAGCCATGTAGTTAGCCTATCTTCAAAACACTAGCTATTAAAAAATCATAAGAAAATAATTTTCTAAGGAACCTAGTGGGAGGGAAAGCATTGATGAAGACAAAATGAGAGAATGGTTTATCCCTGATTTTGGCAACATATCCCTAAAATAAAATAGAAGAGCCTGCAGCCATGTATCAGTGGTTCTCTAGTAAAGAGAAGCGGAATTATTTCTCTAGTCTGAGCAATGATCCCAGCTCAGCAGGTTTCCCAACCCTCCTTGCCCTGACAACCACCAAGCTTGAGAAAAATGCACCCCTTTGATATGTTTTGTTTTTTCCCCCTGAGCTAACTAGATATTTAAACAACCCCAGAATCATCTTCTCAACTAGGGGTCAAATCACTTTACTCCATCACCTGATTTTTGTTAATATCATTCTGCATAGTGGTTAGATGACTCAGCATCCTCCATCACTGCCTACTTCTCAGTGCTTCAGCCTTACAGGGTCCTGCTCAATACTGGGCTTCACTCACTGCTTTACTGGCCTATCCTAGACTGAAAGTCCACTGCATGGATGGGGTCTTGGACTCTTGGCCCATGCCTTCCAAATGTGACCCTTCTGTTCTTATTCTGTCTTTGATTTGCTTGGGGGCTTTCACTCTTGGGTACTGTCCTCAGCTCCTCCACAACTCCAGCCCTCACCTCTTCTTCCCTTTTGCCTATTTCCTGCCATCTCACCTGTGATTAGAGCCATGGGCCCCATCTGGACCCAAGAGACAATTTGAACAGACATGAACTCTGGGGCTGCTATGCCACATAATGCTAGAATATTAACATGTCCTCATCTGTAAACCCCCTACCTATAGGACTGACATGAGATTAAATGAATAAATATATGTAAACTGTGAAGGCCAGGGAAGAGTAAATCATGAACACCAAATATAAATCTTAGATGGCTTTCATTGTTGTCACCATCATTACCCCAGCCTGAGCTCTCCTGGATGTTCTCATTAGCTATTAGAAACAAACTAAGTAAACTAATTCTGCTTTTCAAAAGAATTTAAAAGACAAACTTCAATACTTTAGAAAAGGCACCACAACAGTCCAACTGGCAAACAGACTTAGCGGATTTTTCTCAGCCAAAAAAAAGTCGCTATCATATTCAGCCGTGGCTGGAGACAGGTTGTTTTTTTCAGCAAAAATCAGGTTTATTCGTATCCCTAAGGTATATCCACAATCTTTCTTTCTTCTCCCTTCCAATAATTCAATCTCAACCAACGCAGAGAAGAAAACATTCTATTTGGCAAGTGTCTTTCTGGAGCAACCCTTGAGAAAAGGAAGCAGAAGGAAGGGGCGTCCATCTTTTAATTAGCAATGTGCACACAGTCCAGCTGCTGGTCTTTGTAGGAAGGGCTGGAAGAGCAACAGGCATCTCTTTCTCTACTCTCTTTGATTTTCTCTCAATTACCCCTCCCTCTACCCCATCCTACAGCCTAACACCCACCAAAATGTGATTATTTGCATGAAATCAATACCATGATTCACACACAAAAGCCTAGAAAAACCTGCTATGCAATAGCAATTTTTCATGAACCAGACTCCTAAGTGCTTGCCAACAAGCTAAATTATCCTCTTGTTAAGTGTTATCTTTTTTTCTTCCGTCTTTCTTCTTTTCCATGTACTTCTTAATATTGATAAGCTTCTCTTAGTTGAAGGGAACATTTGCATTTTCTTCAGTTCTCTGTGTAGCGAGCACATCAAAGGACCTAACTCCCCTGCCTTTCTGTTTCTCTTTCTCAGTAACTGAACTGCCTTTGCTCAGACTCTCATTGAAAAGATCGTGCCATTTTAGAGGGGAGAGGGGAAAGTTGATGTTTAAGGATCCAGATTTTGGATCTAATACCTAAAGTCACATGAAGGCTAGATTTAATCTCTTATAACTCAATCAATTAATCAATTAACCAAGAGTACTTAGTGGATCCCACTTGGGTTTCCTGCCCTATATAAATACTTTGGTAACTATGAAACTAAAATGATTTTTTAAGTTAATGGTACAGATAAAATGAAAGTGATTTGTGAACCCTAATATAACTAAGTATAAAATGTTGTGATGTCGGGCAGCAGGGCTGCTGATAAGGATGGGGAAGGGGGTCATGAGGGTCAAATAAATTAAGAACAGGTTCATAGAAGAGGACTGAGGAGATATAGAGCTAGAAATTGGGTAGAAATTTGGATGGCCGTAGGCAAGGCAAATCATTCCAAGCAAGGAGAAGCTGCATTGTGTATAAATAATGACTGTGATACTTAAACAACGAAGACTTCATTTCAAATGGCCTGGCTCTCTCCTGCATGCGCTGCCTGCCTTGTGAACCTCTCATCTAGAAACTTCACACCCTCCCAGGCTCCACGTCAGGCAGGCCCAGCAGCTGGGGCAGTTGACATGCTACAGAGGGACAGACAGAGAGACTGGGACTAGATTTTCTCTCAGCTAAGTAGGAGAGGGTGCAGCAGACAATGAAATTTTTAAAAGCAGCATTTCTTGGGCTCTGTGGTGGTAATACAAAAGCAAACCAACTACACACTCCAACATGCACATGCATAAGAATAATTGAAATAATAATGTACATACAGTTTTCTAGTTTTATTCCCTTAATAAATCATGAGGTTTTTTTGCTATGCTGATAATTAAATATTATTTTAATATATAATCTAATGGCTGAATGATCTATCATATTGCTTTGGCACAATATATTTGAATATGCTTCTATTATTGCCTGTTTATGTGATTTCCAATTTTTCCCTATTATAAATACTACTGTGATCAATATCCTTTAATATTAATATTTGATAACATTTCTAATGATTTTAAAGACATATTTCTAGAAGTAGGATTACTGAATCTCAAAATATGAAAATTTTAACTCTTTATGAATAGTTCTAAATTCCTTTCAGAAACCTGTACCCATTCTTATTCCCAGAAGCAGTGCAAAAAAATTAATAATAAGTATTGGTTTCACTAAAACCATCTCCAACACGGAATACTGCACACACCTTTTTTTTCTATTTAAAATTTTTAACTACTTATACATAACAAAGAAATATATTGTTCTCCCCAGGTATCAAATATACATACACTTTTAAAATAATTTATGAAAATTTTAAAGCAGGAGGAAACATGAAACCCTGCCATGCAGGTTAAGAAAGAGAATATAATCCAAAGTGTTGAAGTTCCCTATGCACTTCTTTCATAGCCTCCCTGCCTTTAAGAAGTAAACACAACATAGAATTTTTTTTGTTAGCTGTTCCCTTTACAACTTTGCTATGTATTTTATCCTCTAAATAATCTACAATTTAGCTTGTTTTTGAACTTTATAAATATGACATCATACTGTATATATTTTTCAGCAACTTGGTTGTTTAAAACTCATTTATTTCACTGCTATATAGTATTTCATTGTATAAATGCATCATGGCTTATCCTCTCTCTTGTTGATGGATATTTGGGCTGTCTCTAGTCTGGGCCTATTTATGGAAAATGCAGCTGTGAAGATTCTTCTCTGTCTCCCAGAATCCTTGGGTGAGAGTTTCTCCCAGGCAACAATTTACAACCTGCAGTATGTGTGGTCCTGGGGAGACATGAACTGTTCCAAAGGCTTTCAGGGAACAGACATCGTTCAGGAATCGGTTTAAAAATCATCAATTTCTTGACGAGTTAGTGGGTGCAGCACACCAACATGGCACATGTATACATATGTAACAAACCTGCACATTGTGCACATGTACCCTAAAACTTAAAGTATAATAATAATAAAATTAAGAAATAAATAATAAATAAAAATCATCAATTTCTGTACATACATTCTCTTGAAACCAATTCTTTCTAACCTCGCTTATTTTAATAGCTATTCTCCCACTGTATAGAAGAAAAGCATACCTTTCATTCAGGCAGATCCATACCATATTGTATCAAAATGGAATATAAAAATCTCCAAGATGACAAACAGATATTTCAAAATTTTATAACGATGTTGAGAAAGCAAATGACTTTAATGAGTGGATAACAAATAATTTTGCAAGTCAGATGCATTCCAATTATATGTTTTCCACAAAGCCAAATTTTCAGCTGCTAGATTATTAAAAATAATTTCTGGTGATAAAATCATCAATCATAAATCACTAGGTGATACCTGGCATATGACTGGAAATGAATTCAAAGAATTGAGTGACATGGCTAAACAAAAGTTCTTCCACCCTTCTCTCTTCTATTTATTTATAAGAACAAGGATTTGCAGCACTTACATCTATAAAAACCATAAACAGGAATAAAATTGATGCTGTATTGTTTCTCATTTTAGCCATAAATAATATTTATTCATCAGCCAATTGGGAAACACCTCTATCCATTTCAATAAGATATATATTTACAATAAAAAATTTAGTTTTCATAATTAGAAATTATCTAACAAAAATCTTAACTTATGTTGTTTTGATCAATTGTGTATTCATAATAACTACAATGAGAACACAACCCAGAAGAAATTTTCAGTGCTTAGAATCTTGTGATCGTACAGAAATTCTTTGAAAAATTCAATTCATCCACATATTTTTGCTCTGAAGATGTATTATTATCAGTTAAGGACTTTCAAGCATAAAACTATATTAAATTTGGACAGAATCATTTAGGGACTCATGAAATTAAAATACAGGTTTATGGAGGAAAAAATGATTAAAATCTTAAACCCTTAAAGAAGAGCTTGATCATGTTGTTTTTCTAATTCAAAGACAATACACAGGAACTTACACTCCTTGACTACATTAAAACCTCCAGTGAAAAATTAAGATGACAATTTAAAATTGTGCAAGCAGTGTATCATTTTTCAGAATTCTTTTGGGGGATGTGCAGGTGAAAGCATTTGGCAACCACTACGCAACGGTGCATACCCAGGTGTGAAATTGTTGTGTAAAGAGGTGTGCACATCTTCATTATTTCTAGATAACATTAAATTGTTTTTCAAGTTGTCCAGCCTTATCAGAACCACAAAGTTCTAATAGCTCCACATTCTTCCAAACACTTTGGATTGCCGGAGTTTTCCATTTTTGCCAAGCTAGTGGGCGTAAAATGGCATTTCATTGTGGTTGGAATTTGCATTTTCCTGATTTAATGAGGTTGAGTATATTTTCATATGTTTATTGGCATTTGTGTTACTATTATTTATTTTTAAGCTTTGCTAATTTGATTTACAAAAAGTGATGCCTCATTTGCATTTCTTTGATAACTAACAGGGTTAATACTTTTTCATATGCTTATTAGCCATTTTTATTTTTTATGTGAATTGTCCATTCATATCCTGCCCATTTTTTTTCTATTGGGATTGCAGGGGCTTTCTTATGAATTCAAATGAGTTCTATTAAGGCCTAAGCCCCTTACTTGTTATATTTATTGTGCTGCAATCTTGGATGAACTGTACTTCGTTATATGATAGCATAGTTCTTTTAATATACATATGAATGTGATTTGCCGATCTTTTGTTTTGGATTTCTACATCAATATTTATAACTCATATTGTCCTGATAATGTTCTGCTCTGTTTTGTTTTGTTCTGTTTTGTGGGGGTGGCACTCTGTCAAGTTTTAGTATCATGGAAATACTTGCTTCTTAAAATGAACTCAGATTTTTTTTTCTCCTTAGGGAGACTAATTAATTACACACTATTCGTTATTTGAAAAATTGACAGAAAACAGCTGTAAAATAATCCAGAACTGAGTTTGGAAGGGAGAGTAATTCTTAAGACAGGTTATTAGATTTTTAGTGTACATGCTTTCTCCAACAAATCGTCAATTTCATTAAGAATTTTAAATATACTACCGTAGATATGTACAATTTGGCTTCTGGGTTTTAAAATGTCCTTTACACTAATCTTATCTCCCTCTTCTCATCACGAATTTTGTATACTTCCACTTTTTATTTCTTAGATTGATATTCCAAAAGATTTTTCAATTTAATTTTTTCAAAAAAACTCTCTCTTGAATATGTTTATAAATTTACTGTTTATCTTATTTAATGATGTATTAATTTCTCCTTTTATCTTTCTTTCCTCCTTTTAATTAGGTTTGTTTCTAATCTATTGAGTTGACTACTTAATTTGTTTATTCTTTATTGCTGACTTTCTATTTAAGTCTATTTCTTGATTTTATTAACTGTTTAATCAGGGGGCAATTTCAATAGTCAACTAGTTACTATCTGTGTCTTCCTCCTGTGATTAATCCTCCAAAGATACAACTCTCATTCTTCTCCTTCTTAAAATACTTTAAATGGTTCCCCACTGGGCACTGAAATGAATTTCAAGTTCTTACTTTCTATTCAAGGTTCCCTATACTCTGGCCATAGTATACATTTCTAAAGTCAACCCCTAGTACTTTCTATGTGTATATCCTATTCTAGAGAAAAACTGAACACCAATTTTTATCCATGTTCTAACCACTATACATTTGCCTATGCTTTTTCTTCTACTGGGAATGTCCTCCATCCCCCCCCTCATCCTCTGGAGGCATTACTATCTTTTGAAATTGTACTCAGTCCTGCAGATGGATGTGGCTTCCTGGGTCGCTGGAGTCCTGCAGAGTTGGAGCCATCAGATTAGCTTCTATTGGCCCTTTGGCTTCACCACCAAGGAGTAAGCCATGAGTGCTGCTCACAGGCAACGCAGGCTTGTGTACTCAACACTACCCTTTCTTGCTGATGTGCAAGCCTTCCTAGGTATACCTCATATCCACAGCAGCAGTTCTATCAAGAGTAACCATATATCATCCACACCTGAACACTTGTTTAGTGAAGGGAGTCACTAGGACAACAGGTGTATCCTGGGCAAACCAGGACATCTAGTCATTCCCCTAACTAAATCTCATGAACTACACCCAAATATACTTAGTATATCTTTAATTTTCTTATTTCTGTGTAGGGTGGGAAGGGAAGGAGATATAAGAGTACATGGCATAAAAGTACAGAAACAAAGGGTATGTTAAAACAGATATCCCCACCTAGGATTTTTCAACGTGCCTCCTATTTGGGCTTTGTAGATAATGTCCACAGGGTTTAACTATAGCCAGTATCAGGTATCAGGATCCGTTGCCCTGTATGTGGTCTCTTAGGAGCCAGGCTAACTAAAAAAAGGCACAGACCCATCTGGTTCAAATAATCCTAGGATATTATATTGACCTCATAATGTCTGAGACATGTCATGAGAGAAAGCAATGGATGTCCCAAGCTCATCACGAAGATACACTCTGTCACAAAGATTTTATGGCTCCCAGTGTTACAATATTTTCTCAAGTCTTCTCCCAATTCCACTTGCTCTACCATCACCATGACAACCCACGTTTCATTAATAATGGAGACCTGAGGGAAAGCTTCTGGTGTGAGTCCCCTCTCAGGACTCACCTCCTGCTTTGGCATTCCATGAAACTATTCTGATTCCAGACATTATGCCTTGAACATTTCAAGCTATCTCAACTTTGTATATCAGAGAGGAGGCTGGTTAAATACGATAGATGGTGAAACTGTGGGAATTAGCCAAGATTTTCTAAAGCAATTAGCTGGTACAACAAATGGAACAAAAGAAAAGTCATTATAAAAATGCTAAGCCATTTAGATTTGGAGATCAATGTCTGATCCTTGGTTCTGACACAGAGAAGAGGAGAGACAGATTCAAGAGTTTTCAGACTATTTTCATAGGGCCTCTCAATGCCAGGACTTACAAATAGGATGGAAAAGAGCAGCACTTATGAGATGAGTGGGTCTCAGCTGCTTAGCTTAGTTAACAACATCCTGGGGGGCCTTGGGATGTTTTCCTGTACAGACCTGGACAACTTTAAAAGCCCCTGTGATATAAATGAAAAAAAAAAAAAAAGCACAGACTCAGTGATCAGACTCTTGAATCCTAGCTCCAACTCTTAATCAGTGGTGTGACCTTAGTTGCTGTATAATGACTCTGAGTCATTATTTCCTTTCAATAATATGGAGAGAGTAACATTTACATGGAGGACAAAAATGAGTGCATATACAAGCCTTGGATGTAAAGTATACCCAATAATAGCAATAGCCGTACTAAAATTATCGTATCATCATCACAAACATCATAGATGGGTTTTGGAAGGAATACGTTTGAGGCCTCCATTTGGAAGTGCTGTATTCACATCGATCCTGGTTCAAAAGCACCAGACACATTATCTAGCAATGGGAGACATCAGAAGTGAGTCCAAGACCCAGTAGACCAGAATAATTTAAGGTCAGGAACATGAACTGTTAGAATAAACAAACGAAAAACACTGATTCCAACTTTCTGTCTTAGGAAGAGCAAACAGGCAGGTCAGAATAAGAATGTGTATGCCTGAGGATTTTAAATATTTGGCTGTCCCTTTGAGAGTTTCTTTCACCAACACCGAACATCAGCATGTACAACCATTCCATCTTCTCCTCTATAGGCTCATGGTACCTGTGAGATGTAGGGGATTCCAAGTATCAGAAAAGAGAAGCAAAGGGATGTGTCTTCTTGACTCCTCCAACCAAAAGGGCCCTGTCCCATAGGCTCAAGCCAACTGAGCCAATTTTAAGTTTTCTTTCTTTCACTTCCTGTTACCAAATCTGTCCTTTACACATTGAGCCTTCTCTTCTGCTAAAATGTTTCCCTTGCTTTCTCTTTCCATTCTAGTCCTACTGCCATCATTCTACATCCAGTTCGTATCAGCTCATGCCTGATTTAATTCAGCACCTTCTACTCAGATGTCCCTGTCCCCAGAGTCTGCCAACTCCAATATATCCAGCACAACTGCCAGGAAAATCTTCTTCAGGAGATATTTTCATCACATTGTCCTCCCTCTCAAGGGCCTCAGTGTCTCCCACCTCCCCACCCCACTCCTCCTTATTCCTCCCAGCCGCCCTTCACCACAGCCAAGCTTAGTGGCTTCTCAAGCCCTGCATGTGAGTTTCTTTTATAAACTTTGTCATTCCCCTGATCTGAAATGTTCTCCTCTTCCTTTCTGTTAATTCATGCCTCTCATTGCCCTTTAAAGTTTAGCTTTAAATTATACCTTTCTGTACATGTACCCCAGAGCAGTAACTTACACCTTAGCTTGGACTGGACTTGGATATCTGTGGGATAAACAATGATCCTCTAATCCCTCCTAGGTGCCTAAGAGTTAGCCACTAAGTTTGATCTTGATCCTTCCCCAGGTGCTGGCTTTATAATATGGCTCTGCTGCACAGTAATTCTCACTTGATGATATGTTAGTTTATAAATGTTGTGACTTCATTTCAATCTCTCTCTCAGACTGGATAAAAATTCCCCAAAGGCAGTGACTCTGCATTCCATTTGCACCCCCTCTGATCGCATATGCATAACTCTGTGTATGGAAAGGCTCAGGAAATGTGCGTGGTTGCCTGAAGTGGAACTCTCAGATGGCCCCAGGAAAACTGACCTTTATATAAGAAAAATAAATTGGAAATAACCTCAATACTCAACCCTATAAGTATATTATAGGTGATTCTTATGATGTAATATTATTTATGCCTTAAAAACATTTTTGAAGAATTTTTTAATGATGTGAGACTATTTCACTATAAAACTTGCTTTATATCTATAATTTTATATAAATATAATATGAATTTCAATTTCACAATAGAAAATAGAAAGATGACAGGAAAAGGAAGACAGAAAGAAGAGAAGGGAGGAAGGAAGAAAAAATGAAGGAAGAAACATATGGACTAATGGAAGAAAAATGCAGGAACAGGTAAGTAGTGGTGACCTCTGAGCAGTTCTGGGTAATTGTTTTTCCTTTTTCTTTAGGATTTTCTATGTCATCAAATTTTCTAAAGGAATCCTGCATTGCTTATAAATAGAACCAGAAAACACAAACTGTATTAAAACTAAAATTGCTTATCAAAATGTCGTATTTTCAAGCAGTATTTTCAAAAATATAACATCTTAGAGGGAAAGAGTAGGCAAGTGATAGGGTGGAGAAACTGGTTGATAACTGGGAAAATAAAATTTTTATATTCAGGAAATTCCCTGCTAATATAGAAGTGGTAGCTATTTTTTAGTGGGTAATATCCCATTCCTGGGACCAGGTAGAAGAAAATTTTTGGTGTCCACTTTGAGCATGTTGCCACTCCTATTCCTTGAATGACAACGTTGCCACATCCACCTCCTCTACCACACTATCTCCACTATCACCACTAGCTTCGCCACCACCTCCAATGCCTTTACCTCCACCGCCATCATCACCTCCTCCACCTCCAGCACCACCTTCAACACCTCCACTTCCACTTCCGTCTTCTCACCTCCTCCACCTCCACCACCACCTCTAACACCTCCACCTCCACTTCCATCTCTGCTTCTATCACTATCTCTATCACAACTTCCATTTCCTACCACCTTCACCACCATCTGCCGAAAATAGTAGATAAGTCATCTATAGCAAATTGGATAGGGATGGGGGAAATATAGAAATTTAGGAAATTAGAACACATTCCCCAGTGTATTATACTATAAATATTACAAATAAGCAGAACTTTCCTGCAGAGTCTCCACATACCTGGCTCGGAATAGATGAGGTTTGGAAGTAACTAGCTAACAGGATGGGGAGGAAGCTTTCTCAGCACCTGAGCTAAACAGGGATATTGACCCTAGGGTATCCTGCCCTGGGTAGTCAGGAGTTCACGTAAACTGTTTATATTTATAAGCAATGCAGAGATTACTTTAGAAAATTTGAATGTGTGGTGGAGGTGATGTGACAAAGTCACTTTTGTCCAGCATCATGAAGGGTTTCAAATTAACCTTGTCTCTAAGGGAAAACACATGTGCATAACGCAGCAAGATGGGAAGTGGTTTCTATCTATGGCCCCTGTTATGATTCTACCAAATCTATTGAAAGGCACTGTAGGTCTTTAGGTGCACAGGTGGGCAGAGAAGGGGAGGAAGTCTGGTCAGGGCAGGGTCTGGAGCGGGATTCAATGAGTGCCTTAGGGGCTGGCTGCTGTCCATATCCAAAGCAGGATATGGCGTGATACAAGTTATTCACTGATTCATGCAATAAACATTTATTGAGCACTTACTATGTACCAGATGTTGCTCTAGGCATTGGCAATAGAGCTATGAACAAGATAGACAAAGTCCTTTCCTTTATGGATTTTATATTCTAAAAACGGATATAGACAATGAGCAGATAAGTTACAAACAACATAATGTCAGGAAAGGTAAGTGGTATGGGAGATCTCAGTAAGGAGATAGAGTGTCACCACAGTATTAGGGGTGCTATTTTAGATGGGCTGGTCAGGGGAGGCCTCTCTGAGGAGGTGAGAGTTGAACAGAGCTATGAATGAAGGGAGGGGAAAGCCATACAAACATCAAGGGAAAGGATATTCTAGGCAGAGGCAGTAGAAAGTGCAAAGGCCCTGAGGCCAAAATAAGCTCAGGGTGTTTTTCACTTTAGAGTGAACGGCAGCCTGTGGTCCAACCTGCAGGGTATAAATGGAGAGGAAAGAGCCAAAGGTAGAGTGTAAGAAATAAAGTCTGCAAGGTAACTCAGGTCCAGATCATATAGAGACTTGGAGGCCACGGTCAAGGACTTTAAATTTTTTTCTAACTTGATGAAAAGCCATGGGAGAGTTTTGAGTAAGAAAGTATTTATTATATGTCTGTGGGAGCTTAACCTTTTAATATATTTCCTCATGAGAACTACAGCTCTGCAAGATAGAAATGTGTACAGAGGCATCTCTAGGCTCTGTCTCTTGCTCCAGCCACTTCTGCAGAACCCGCCTGCAAAGGCCTCCACCAGCTTTGCTCAGGCACAGCCTGACAGCACCTCCTCCAGTCTCACCATGCACCTCTCATTTCCTGTCCTAGAGCTTCTCTGATTTGCAGCTTGGCACGCACACAAGTGCAACCTGCAAGTGCCAGTGGTTAACGCCAAGTGGGGATCACCCTTGACTAATGGGTGACAGAAGCTAATGGATAAATGCTTCTCCTTTTGTTCCCTGGACAGCTCATTTTGATTTGGATTTCATAATGCCGCTTAGAAATTCTAATGGAATTGAGCACCAGTCTCTTGTGCAGTATCCAAATCCATAACTCCTCCTTGCATTGCCTGCCCTCCTACACTGATTCACTCCTCCCCTGGCTTGGGTTCCTTCTTCTGGGATCACATGCCCAAGTAAGCTCATAGGTGTGTTTAGCAGGCCCTGCATTTAGAAGAATACAGGATAAGGTGGTATGATTGTCCTTGCTTTAAAGATTAGGAAGTAAAAGGTTAAATAAATTGTTCCAGGTCACACTGGAGTCAGAAATGGGACCCTATTCAGCTGATTCCAACAACCATGACCTTAACCACTCTTCTATGCTGCCTCATACTCAGAATTTTCCACATAGCAGTGTTTCAAGGGTGGATGGCCCTTCCTGTTGGAAACAGAGACATCCACATGCCAGCAAGGAAGATACAGCAGATTGCCAGGATGAGCAGGGTTTCAAGGGCGGCCCATCTTACTGGGACTCAGGGAAGGGTCCTAGCACTGAAGAGAGGCTCATCACTAACCAGGGACTGAAGAAGAAGTCTGAATTTGTGGCTTGGGAAATGCTGTGGGTTACTGGCAGGCTGTGCTCAGGGAGCAGGTGGTGCCAGGTCCTCACTCGGCTATCCTGGATGCCAGTCCTGTGGCAGCAGAATGAATTTCAGAGCCCCCCCTGCAGGAGGCAAGTGAAGAGTCTCACTTGGTAAGAACATAGGTATGTGTGAGGTAATTAACATCAGGGTTATTTTAAATATAGATGTAGTCAGATTGATAAGAAGCAAAGCATCATAATAGCTAAAAAATAATAACTGCTTTATCCAGCACTTATTTGTCCCAGGCACTGTGCTACGCACTTTGCATCTATTATCTTTTCAGCAACATGATGATGTAGACACAATAATTACCTAAATTTTAACTATCAGGATTAGAGTGGTTAATTCAGCAAATGTCACACTGCTAAGTAATAGAACTGGGGCTCAAACTAGGTCTGTTTGACACCAAAGCCTTTTCTTCTCAATCAGTTTTCTAGAATGCCTGAATGAAGACTCTTTTTTAGGAGGCCATGAACAGCTGTTGCAGATGTTGAGCCAGGACAGTGTGGGTAAAATTATTCTAATGCCAATATATACATTAAAATAAGTCTAAGAAGAAACCATTAGGAGGATATTTCAACGGTCCAGAAGAAGGTGACACGAAATGATATTAAGGGGGTGGCCTGTGAGTAGGAAAGATGAGATCTGACTTAAGCGAAGCTGTGAAAAAAGAATCTTTGGGGCCAGAGTACCAATTAAAATAGAGCATACGGGAAAGGATGGAGTCAGGAAGAATGCTGAAACTGATTCTGATTAAGTAATGAAGCTGCCATTAACAGAAATAGGGACACCAGCAGGAGCTAGAGGGCAACGGTCAAGTCTGTTTAGTTGACAAAGGTCTTTTGCGGAAAACATATCCCAAAGGCTGATTGAATTTTGGTTCTTGGGCTCAGAAACAGGACTAGATCTGGAGATGCAGATTTAGCAACCATCCATTAGTCCCACTGGAACCCTCCAGTGAGGCCAGCTAGATAAACCTGTCCCGGCAGCCCAGCCCACTCATGCATGGGAGCCTGGATCCCCTCACTTCTCTTGCCCACCTGCTCTTTGCTTACTCAGTCCAGAGGTCTATGTGGTTTTCACTCTGCTCTGTCACTTTCAACAAGAGATTCACACATGACCTGCCTTGCCCAGTTTGGATTCCAAGCTATTTGACAGTAGGGACTACATCTTGAACTTCTTTTTCTTTTAATGCCAAATGGTATTCTAGTAGGTTGTTAGCACAATACCCTATTGGGCTTTTCATTTTTATAAGAACAAATTCTGAAATGCAACACAGATCATCTTTCTATTTAAGTTTGGGGCCATTTGAAGCAGCAATGTATAAATTCAAAGCATTCACCTAAAGTGCCTTCATCTGCATCATTTTAACCTCAGTCTTCACAGGTCTTCCTCCACCCTCAACCCTTAAGACTTATTAATAATCAACATTCGAGTCTCCCATTCTTCTCTCTCCAATTTCTACCCTCAGGCAGTTGAGACGTAGGAGCTTTGCAATTAAATTCTCCCCTCCAGCCAAACTGACCCCAAATCATACTTATGAAATTGCTCGTTTATCGATTGTGTTGTTTTTGTTTCTCCATTTTATGTGGGCACACAGGGCCCTGCTCACAGGCAGGGTTGCTGTGCTTGGAAAGGTGATCTCCTTAGGGCACTAAAGCCGCGTTGGACAGAGAGGAGCTTAGCCTTTCCTCCTGTCAGATCTGCAGGTGGCTTTGACCACCACAGCCAGTTTATGACTGCCTGTGGGCAGTCTCGGCCCTCAGCTAATGTGTAGAACAGGCAAGGCAAATCTGCGAAATCCTCCCACCCACTTGCCCTGTCAGCACCATTCCTGCTGACCAGTGCCTTCCTTGCTGTGGCCGAACCCTCAGGACAGTGCCCCACCAGCTCTGTCTTTGTCAACCGCTCAGTACAATGTGGATGTGTGGAGTGGCTACTTACGAGTTAGGCCCTGGGTGAATTGTGCAGTATTCCACAATGAACACAGCACAGTTCTCTCTTCTCAAGAAGAACCAGGTTTAATAGGAGAGGCAAATACACAAACAGGAAACTACAGTACAGTGTGGCAAGTGCAATATTAAAGAGAAGTTAATGAGAACAACAGACAATGGGTGCGTAACCTGCGCAAACAGGAAACTACAGTACAGTGTGGCAAGAGCAATATTAAAGAGAAGTTAATGAGAACAACAGACAATGGGTGTGTAACCTGCGGGGAAGGCAGAAAGGGCTCTCAGGTGCAGAGCTGACATCCGTTAGCCATGACATCCGTCAGGCCACAGAGCCTGTGGCCCACAAAAATGCTTTAATTTTAATTTCTTTTAAAACAAGAATAGATGATTATAATAATAACGGCTAGTAACAATGAATTCAGCCTACATTATACGCATCTTCATGCCAGTGCTGTTATCAAATAGAATTTTACATTTTTTTTTTTTTTGGAAGAAGAGCCCACAAAGGCCAAATTGCTTAGGACCAGCAAAAGTGGTACTGTGACCCTGCCTCACGAAGAAACTAGGGCAGAGTAGAAGATACACAGGCAAAGTAGGAGAGGTCTAGGCGAGGGACCAGTGTAAGCGTGTGTCAAGAATATCAGCATGATGCTAGGGAACAAGCCGGATATGGGGAGTCGTGAGAAACTAGGTAAAGATGTAGGCAGAGATTTGCTATATTAAGAACCTGGAATTAGTCCTACAAGCCTGTTCCCTTCCATACTCCCACGTACCCCACAACACGAAATCAAAGTTTGCTAATCCTGTGCCCCATTCTCTCCCAGCTAATATTTTCCTTAGAACATAATCTGGGTAACTGCAATGTGCCAAATGTCACTGCCCACAAGCAGCTTTCTATGCCACCTCCCATCTACTGACAGCAATGTCTTAAATAAGGAAATATGTTTCCAATGGCAGGTGAGGAAGGGGATTTAGGAGCAGGAATGCTCTGGGCTTTCCACTGGACTCCTCTGCCTGCATCAGGGCATCTGAGAGGCTGGGACCTCTCAGAAAGGCTGGTGACAGGCCATTGGCGGTCTTTCTCTTTCTGGTTACAAAGTGCCCAGAGGTCTGCTCACTCAACAACTATTTTTGAAGCATGAAGTGAAAACAGGATGAAAGAACAGGAAAAAGTGTCCATTATGCAAGAAGAGAAGAGCCTCCCCCCAACCTCCTAATGTGTATGTCATTTAAATACCCTTGTGAGAGGTGTTCATTATTTCCCCCATTATTTAGAAATGTGCTTCAAAGACCCCTCCAACAGCGTCGTGCCATCAGTTGTTTAAACACACGATTTGTTAAATCACTACCCTCGGAGCCCTGGAGCTTAGGGGTTATATTGTCTCAGAGCAGACACAACTCGGGGGTCACCCTGCTGCTGCTGAGGATTGTCTCAGCAACTCCCCACCGCATCCTGATGGTTAATAAGGATCAGCTTTTGAAAGGCAAGGTCAAAAGGAGAACTAAGTGACTCCTGGTGCTGGCTGAGGGTGCATGAGTTCATTGTTCCCAGCGGCTGGTCAGTGCCCAGTGAGGAGAGAGCCCATTGTTGCCAAGCAGCCTGAGAGACAAAGCCCAGCCCAGCCATCAACCTATGCTGGGGGCTAGATGGGGGTTTCCAGAAGGAGCCAGTCCTTGACTTTAGAAATAATTCTCTTTAGGATAACTTGTTTTCATGAAAATGGGAAGCTACAAAAAGATGCATTAAGTGTTGATCATGTACATTATCAAAGAACACCTTTAAGCATCTGTTCCCCTGAGTACACGAAAGTGTTTATTTACAGGTCTTTAAACTGTAGGATAGAAATGCTCATAGCAAGCCACTGATTATAGAAAATCAAACTGAGATGCATTCATTGATTTGAGAGGAAAATAAGAATAATGGGGAGAAAGGTTTCAAACTTTAAAAAAATCAATTTATGTAAATTGATCAAAGAAGATCTCCGCTGCATAAAGAGAAATATGTCTCCCCTTTCTCCTGTTTTTGGCATAGCAACTGTCAGCTCTTATCTGCTCACTGCCTTTTGTGTCCCCACACACCAGTCTACAGACCTTGTCTCTGCATGGCTACTTCACTAAAAATGCAAAATTCCCCTGGGAACCAAAGGTGAACCCACAGAAAAGTAGATAAAGACCTTGAGGGAGCAAGTCACTTAATACCTCCCTTCATGCATTTGCGGAAGGGCTTGGCAATCTATAGGTGGTAGCTATTGTGTTGTTGGGAGGAGAATTTCTACCACCACTGAGTGCGGAGGCAGACCTCAAATGATTCCCCTTCTCAAAATTTCTTTATGCAGTTAATGGCACTGCAGATCCACAGTAAGCAGGCTCAAACTCTTTGAGATAATATCAATTACTCCCTTTCCTTAATCCCTTAGATGCTGTCTGCCACCAAATCCAACCTATTCTTCCCCGGTAATCGCCTCTCACATTCAGTTCTGCCCATCCCAGGCCTTCCTCACCTAAGGCCTGAAAATCTGCAACAGACTTTTATCTCCTTTTCATGATACCCTTCATTCTCCGCATTTCTTAAAGTTTAGTCTGTTCAATTTCCTGTCGTGCTACAGTGGGCAAACCACAGAACAGTCCAGGCTGAGCTCTGGTTCCTAATGATTCCTAATCATTTCCTTTTGATGGTCCTTTCTCTGGCATGGGGTGAAGATTATGCCTGCAGCTCCTTCCTGTTGTCTCACAAGCCTGAGCTCTCCATCTCCTATAAGCATCACTTCAAACAAGCACACAGACATTCGCAGAACAAGCAATGATTTGTGGGCACAGTTCAGTCTAAACTCATCCTTAGAAAACAAGCATCTCTTCAGAGGAAGGAGCCTGAGGAGTCACAGCTCTGCTTACCACATAGACAACTTTTTTTTGTTTTGTTTTGTTTTTTGATACAGAGTCTTGCTCTGTCGCCCAGGCTGCATTGCAGTGGCACGATCTTGGCTGACTGCAACCTCTGCCTCCCGGGTTTAAGCGATTCTCCTGACTCAGCCTCCCGAATAGCTTGGATTACATGCCCCTGCCACCATGCCTGGCTAATTTTTGCATTTTTAGTAGAGATGGGGTTTCACCATGTTGACCAGGCTGGTCTCGAACTCCTGACCTCAGGTGATCCGCCCACCTCAGCCTCCCAAAGTCTTGGGATTACAGGCGTGAGCCAGTGCGCCAACAACTCTCTACTAGGTCACAGCCTAGCTCCTCAGAGCAAACGCTTCTTATTAATCTCCACGACAGATTAGTGCTTGGGTTTCAAATTTCCAGAGCCACGTGGTGGATTTCCTAGAACAGAGGAAGAGGCTGTATTGAGGGTGTGCATATAGCTCCACTTCTCATGGGATAAGTAAAGAAAAATCCAGATCTTGGGCCAGCTTTCAAGGGAGAGTTTTCAGCTTTACTATTTCTATACAGGTTTCAAAGGCCTAAGGTTTAAATTTCATGCAGAAATGAAGCTCAAGGAAAACTTGTTTTTGTCTCTCTTGAGACCATTCAAAGAGGGCCAAAGTGAACTTTTTTTTAACTAAAAGTATTAGATTGCCCAGAAGATAACTGATGTCCTTCTTCCTATGAGATTTTTAAACCACCCTAGGCATAAAGGAAAATTCTGGGCTCTCATATAAAATTTTGCAAATAAGCCACTCTCCATTCCTTACTTCTAGAAAATAAAATCCCTCACTATACAATCTGAGGTCACTGTACTTCCTTGAAAAATCATTGAATTAGACCCAAGTTCAATTCCCAGTTTTATTACTAGTAAGTCATTGACGAGTTATTTCTCTGCTCTGGCCAATGTTTGTGCTCCTCTGACAAATAAGAGAAGCTGAAATATAAGATCCCTTTGACCCGCTTTGATTCTTCCAGTGCCATGACCTTGTAGAACCTGCTAGAATATTCATTACCAAGTATGTTCTGTGGCTGTCATGGAGGTCTGCGACTAGACAAAGAAACAATCTTCAGAAGGTTCCTGTGTGAACCAACTGCCATGGCACCCAAGTTAGGCTAGCAAATTTTTGACTTCTGATTTTAGTTTTCACAAGGTAATTAGAGAAACACAATATTTTCTCCCCTAATAAAAGAAGAAAGGTTTTGTTCCCTAACTCATTGTCAATCCTAGCATGTTTTATATAAATGCCCCTAGAAAGCTCACACTTTCACTCCTTGCCAAAACTGGCTGAGCTCCTGGCTCAGGCTGGGGAACAGAGGAAGAATTACGGGTGTGGTTGAGCACACTGGCATGCATGAGGCTGAAGCCGCTCCGTGTATCAGTAACATGTAATGACAGCCTCCCATCTGTTCTCTGGAACTCTTCATCTGAGCCTTCGTCAAGCTGGAAATCTGGAAGGAGATGAATGCAAAGGGGCTGTACAAAAGCTGCATGTGAGCTCAGAAGTACCTGCAAAAAGGGATCCACCGTGGATTGGCAGTGGACAGGCTGGCCAGCTGCAGAGTTTAGGGAAGCAGGGCAGGAGCCTGGGAGGTAAAAGAGAAGGTCAGGAATGGGAAGGGCGTCCCGCAGCCCCACCTTAAAACCCTCTGTGCTTTAGAAGAGGGTCTTGAGCATTTCTTGCAATGAAGTGTTGGCCCAGGAAAAAGCAACTGTTCCCCAAACCCCACCACTATAACCAGACACTGGGTTTTCCTCTCTGCTGCAATACAAATTCGTTCGCCATAACTGGAACTGAAAGCCTGACAAACAGGCAGAATGTCCAACATGCCTGCAGATATTCCCACCTCTGCTCTTAGGGAAAGCAGAGATGGGCAGCAGGGAAGGGAGAAGATCAGAGACAACCTATCCCCCCAAACGGGTAGTATTTGAGAATAAAATAAAGCAAAATAAGATCTGGATCACATTCAAGGGTTCAGAGCTAGATCTACCTAAGCCCCCAGGGGTCCTGGAGAAACACTGCCCAGGGAAAGCAAGCAAACAGAATGCAATTTGCCTGTTGCCTCCTGAGTACTGACTCTGCTGTGAGCAGCCTGGTTGCCAGCATCTATCACTGCAGGATCTGGGAGCCTAGGGCTGCTGGTGTTTGCCTCAGGCAACTGGTTAGCCAGCAAGAAAACTTATTAGCTCCCCAATTTCCCCCTAGTGAAGGCTCCCCCTCGGGGATGGGGGTGGGGGGATAATTTCATGGATCTGATCAATGCTATTGGGAAACTAAGATCACAGGCTTGGAATAAAACAGGAATGTGAGCAGGAGATTATGGAATTTGTGGAGGCTAACAAATGACCTGTGAGAAGCCAAGGGCAGAGCAAGCTGCTGGGCTCTAGGCTGGGACGAGGAGCCCTCCTGGCTATAGGTTTCAGCCTTTTCACCGTCCTGACTAACTGAGTGAATTCACAAGCCTTCCTAGCTGCTCCGTATGCCCCATTGAGTTTCTGCAGCCAGCCCATTTCACCCATTTTCTCCAAAATTTAGGCCACTGGGAAAGACCCCTGAAATAAGAAGTGGATTAAAAATGTTTACCTAAAACTGGAAACTGTTGTTCAGCATCCCTCTGAGAACCTCTCAATAGAAAGGAAAGTTTTTAAAGAGGTCTTATTTCATTCATTATTTTATTTGTTTCACATTTTAGCTCATCCTAGATACCAAGCAATGTCTTAGGCCTGAGGATAAAAGAACAAGGAGCTCATATCATCTAGTCAGATAGGGGAAGCATAAGCATATGAGGCCAATTACAGAACAAACCTGAGAGCATTTTAAGCAAGGACAGATGGCGAGCAGTCAAATGCAGTGTTGCTGTGGAGAGAGATGCTTGGGGGCTTGACCTGGTCAGTAAGTGCTTGGAGGAAGAGAGTCTCAGGGAAACCTTGCAGGGCATTGAAGCTTTGACTGGAGCCAAAGGACAGGGCAGCCTAGAAAATAGGCAGGGCAAAAGCAGGATGCCCTTGGCCCTTGTTTCCTTCATATCTAATCCCTACCCTTCCACCCTCCCAGAATTAGCAGCAAGGGTAGGGTATATAGCACCAACCAAGACCTCTGCAAACCACAACCTCTGACCTCCCACAAAAAAGAGCCAGAAACCCATAGATAACATACACCCAGGAGATCTGGTAAATGTGATCCCCACCTGTGGCACCAACCGCACCTGAGAACTTGCTAAATATGCAGAAGTTGAGGCCCCTCTCCAGACCACTGAATCAGAATCTGCCTTTAACAAAGCCAGGAAATTCATATGCTTACTACAGTTTGCACATCAAATGGGTTTCCAGATGGATTCCCTTTCTCAGACTTCAGGCTGTCTTCTCCTCTGCCCTCCCAGCAGGGTGGAGAGAGCTTGAACAGGAGTTCTCTGTGCCCACCAGCAAATTTCAGCACACAGAGCTCCTGGGCTGGCATCACCCCAGCTGCCACCTGCCTGAACCACCCCTTCTCCCTCATCTCACTAGCTTGAGCAGTGCAGTTCCACTCTGGAAGTGGAGCCTCTGGGGCTGCACCTTAACTTCAGCAGAACCTGCTTCTCCCCACACAACTTCCCTCTTAGATACGGGACTATGCCAGAAGACATGAGCCAGCCTGTGGAGAGGAATTAGCCCTGAACTTGAAACAAAAGACCTAGGCTCGGATTTATTATTCTGCCATTTCTTCGCTGCTGTGTGACCTTGGACAAGTCATCATTTCTTGGAGTCCCTCTTTTCCTAAGTACAAAAATACCCCAACATTCACATGTTCTGATGTGAATGTTATAATGCTCTACAGGCACAGCGGCAGTAAGACACAGTGGTTAGGAGCACAGGAGGTGAAGCCAGGTCCCTGGGATGGAATCCCAGTTCCACTACTTATTTGCTAAGTGACACTGAGCAAGTTTCTTAAACCTCTCTGCCCCTCAGTTTATCTGTAAAAATGAAAATAGCAGCAGCAACTACCTCAAGCGATTAAATCAGGAGAATTGATTTAATGTTTGAAATGTACTTAGAGCAATTTCTAGCATATTGTAAATGCTACCTAAGTGTTTGCTAAATAAATAAAACACCTAGCAGAGTGACTGGCCTAAAGCAAGTGCCCAGTAAATGTTTGTTGTTTTTGAATTTGAAAGTCAATAAGATAAACACAGGGGGAGAGACGAGAGATAGAAAGAGAGGGAGAGAAAGAGAGAATGCATGAGCCACAGAGAAAAGACACACATCTGCATTTACCTCTACTTCAGGGGCCCAAGAGCCAGGTGAACGATAGCAGGTTGGGTGAGCTGGGCTGCAGCCCGATGAAAGGAGGTGTAAGGAGTAAGAAAGGGGTGGGCACCGGGGTGGCATGGCAGGGCATGACAAGACAGGCAGACATGCCTGTCCTTTAGTCCCTGTCAATCACTCGCCAAGCTGATGGCGAGCTGATGTCTGTGAGAGCAGAGACGGTGACAATCTGTGCTGGATCTTAATGCATCAGCCCCAGGGGAGGTGGGGCTCTCACCATGTCAGAGTCATGGAAGAGAAGCCACACTTTCCAGACCCCACGTAGCCAGATGCAGCTGCAGCATAATTGCCTGGCTATCTGCAAGTGGGGAGGTGATTCTTTCCTGGCCCTTGCCCACTTCCTTCCTTCACTTTGGAAAATATCAGTGTACAGCTTTGGCTGGATTCTGGACCCTCTGCCTGTAGCATATACCTATGCCTTCGTAAATCTTGATTCGTTCCCCATGCAATCCATCCTGCCGCTCCTTCCAGATGCACCTTATCAACAACTGCTTTCACAGTGGGCTACCCTAGTTGAGACTTTTCAGTAGCCTTTGATTTCTTCCTGCTTCAAGTCGAAGTCACTCCACTGTGCTTGCAGCACTTGGCACTGGCCCAAGCAGCCACCTCCTATTCAGTGCGTACTCTAGGGCAGGCTCTATGCTAAAGACTTGGTATACCTTAGCTCACTTTATACTGTATCATCACAACAATCAAATGGGGTGGCACAAGAATGTTAAGTGATATGACTGCTTTCCTCACCTAATAAGTTACTCAGTTGGAAACAGCTGATATGCGCTTAAATCCCGAGACTTTGGCTCCTGTGTCTATGTTTCCCAGTGTGCGGGTCATAGAACACTAAGTTCCAAGATTTGGTAACAGATATTATATTGGTGTTTTTTATATATATGTGTGTGTGTATATATATATATATACACACACATCTGGTAAATATATATATATATACACACACATCTGGTAAATATATATACATCTGGCAAATGTAAATATATATACACATATACATGTATGTGTGTGTATATATACATACATATATATATAGAGAGAGAGAGGAGTGAGAGAGAGAGAGAGAGACGTTTAAAAAATTCAAAATTAAATTAAATTAAGGGGTTTCCTTAGAATATGACTTCTCAGAGCCCTAAAAATGCAGATAGGATAGGAATGGTGAATCTTGGAAAGAGAAATCCAGCCTATTTAAATGTGGAACCCCCTTTTCCCTTCACAATGCAAGTTGCCGGACTGGGGTTCTCAGGATGCACTTAGGAAACAATTCTCTACACCTTATTATCTCTTAACAGTTTTTTTTCCTAAGAGATGCAATCCCTGACCACCCCCACCCTCTTCAGACCTCCTGATCTCCTTCCTGCATTATGAATTCTTCTTGTCATTCATGCCTCAATGCCTTGGCACATGTTGTTCCTTTCCGTGTTGGTATTTTCTTGCCTTTCTAAATTCTGTCTACCCTCTAAGGCCCAAGTCAAGCCCCACCCCCTTTGTGAAGACTTTATTGTGTATTCCAGCCTTCCTCATCATCTGATCCTCTCTGGTTCTATCACATTTGTGACCTTATTTAGATATTCCTTGGTATATTGACATTATTTTTCTATCACATTTGTAATCTTATTTAGATACTCCTTGGTATACTGATATTACCTTTCATTGTTTCATGGATGGTTGCCTTGCATCCTCTACCAGCCAGAAAATTCCCTTAGGGTAAGAATTGTACCTCGTACCTCCCTATTGCCTACTGGGTTCTTACACAGAATAGGAAATAATTAATCAGGACTTGTTGATGGAATATGGATATTGAAAACAGAAATCGGGGTCTCCCTTCTGTGTGCCAGCTGGCTACAATACAAGCTGGGTGAAAAGTAATCCTGCTTCCACCCTCACTCTGTTCCCATCTTGAGCAGCATTGCTGCTTTGGGTCCTGGGGGAGCCCATGCTGGAGCACTGCCCCCCATGCATACCAGCCTTCAGGAGACTTTTGCACAGCTCCAGAGAATACTGGATTAAAAAATAATAATAATAAAAAATAAGACAAGCCATGTCAGGGGATATAGGTCTAGCTACAACCAGCCATGCTTCCTGCCCCATCCTCCAGCGAGCTGGGGAAAGGCAGAGGTATGCTAAATGGCAAACTCCTTATAACAAGTCAGAAAAGGTGGTTGGGGGCACGGGGAGGGGGGAGATTGGCTTGCAGCCTCTGGGATAGTTGCCTATTTGTAATCTTTTTCTCTTCCTGAACTCCAACTCTCCTTCTGTGTCTCATTGTGTCTGTCTCTGCCTGTCTGTCAGTTTGCCTCCTTTTTCAAAAAAATCTGAATAAAACAGAGCAAACTGTCTTCCTTTCCTATCTGAGAGCAGAGAATAAAGCAGTCACATGTCAAGGGCACATTTTCAGGTTTTATTTTCGTCAGCAATATTCTCCCCCCATAATTGCTATAGAAACACCAAATCCCCTTCCATCCTTTTGTGTGTGCTGACAGAATCCACTTTAACTTACCCTCAGATGAACCTCACTCATGCTCGATGCCGGCTGCAGCACACGCCAGCACTCAAGGATATGCAAGAGTAGGTTGAAAAACACCTGTCCTTTAGATGCTGAATGTGTTCTCCTTCCCCAATCTGACTCCTTCTCATCTAACTTAAGATGTGGCACCGGGGTGCTGCCTGCATGGCAGCGTTGACAACAGAGGCGGTTCTTGGGAAAGAGAGCAGCTCAGCCAGGAAAGGAGGGGGCGCTCGCTGGCAGGCTTCTGGATGTGCAACATGCCTGTGCACCCACAGAATGTTCCGAGTCTGATGCAGAGGTCCTGGAGCTCTGCACAGCCAAAAGGAGAAAGGAAGGGCTTATATCATCGAAGCTAGAAGCCAATCTCCTCATGTACTTGCCTATCTGGCTGCACGAGTGCTGTCTGAGGGCTACGTGAAACAGTAACAAGTCCCTGTAGGTCCAGCTGCACCATTTCTGGCATAAATGTCTTCAGCTCCTGGAAGGAAGCAAGGCCAAAGGAAGCTGCACATGTCTTGGATGAGCTAAGGACCTGCTGCTAATCCTTGCCAGGGTCTCTGGCACCCAGGAAAGAGCTTTGGGAGAATACGGGAACAGGGACAGGTTGGTTGTTGCACCCACAGTGAGATAACACAGAGGCTCTTAATGCAGAGAGGCCAAAGCCTTTCCTAAATGCCTTTGCAGACGGATTTGATCAAACAGAGTCTAGCTGGAGCTGTAATAACCCTGACCCTCTACACCCCTGGAAGGATTTTGTTCCAGGCAATGTAGGCTGCCCAAACACACAGAGCGTGAGTTATGCATTCTACAAAATTAGTTCATAAATCCTGAAATGGGCTTTTGAAAAAAAAGAAAAACAAAGCAAATCAAGATGAATAAATATTAATGAATCACCTCCTCTCTGTGGCAAGAGGAACATGAGGCAGAGCTAATAACTGTCAACAAATAACATCGACATTGAATATTTCATGGAGCTGTGGGGGTGGACCTCAGAGATGGGGTCAGTCACCCACATGTGCAGTGGGCAGCACTTAGAGACCTTCACAAGCTGCAGAAGATAAACATTTTTTGAGCAGAAGGCTGGATTTTCCAGCAAACTTTCCGGAGTGAGTTGGCATATGGTACATACAATAACAGCACCACATTTATTGAGCAGTGACTCTGGCAGATGCTTTATATACATAATCTCTACCAAGTCGCTAAGACTATGCCCACCTTCTCACAGAGGAGACTGAGGCTTAAAGATAACAGTGTGCCCCATACCACATGCCTGGTAAGTGGCAAAGCCGGGATTCAAACCCAGGACTCTCTTGACTCCAAAGTCCAGCACCACCCTACATTGCTACTCAACACATTTCTCCCTCTTTTTTCCTTCCTGCATTATCTTCTAAGCTTTGCACCACATCTTTATAGCTTACTGTAGACCCTCCATTGACAGCACAGGGTCTAGCTTCTCACATATAGTAGGTGCTCAATAAATCAACATATGTTTGTTGAACTGAATTGAATTTCCTTCCAGGGGAAGAAAATAACTTTGCCCTCTTCTCATAGATAGGTGGAAATCCATGAAATAAATTCTTTCCCCAGGGACAGATAACCCATGGAGCCTGACCTCCTCAGAGGCAGACACAAGTGATATCATCCTCCCAATCATTATTGTTATCATTCTATATGGCTGCCAAGGGCTTGAACAGGTGACACAGAAATGTAAGACCTGGCAGACAATAAGTGGTTCTTAAGCGACAGCCCCCATTCAGCACCATCTCTTTCAAGGCTCCCCCTCCCCCAGGGGCTGCCAATCACACCTCTTTCCCCAAGCACAAAATTCACTTAAAACATTTTTTTTTAAAGAATTAACAGACTGAAGAACAGGAGCAGACTTTCTCCTGGCTCTCTGTCACATCCCCACCCAGACAGCTAAAACGTTTCACTTGTCAGTCATCAGTAAATACCAGGTTTAAGCTTTGTACTGTACATCCCCAGAATAGACATCGCTAATGGCCTTGATGACAGTCCTTGATTTCTGAAGCGTATGTGAGAAAGCAAGAGAAAGGGAGAGGCCGGGGGAGGGGGGCAGAAGGCAGGAGAAGGCCGCAGGCAGAAGGTGGGTGGTGTTGTAAATCTTTCTTTTTGGTAGCCTCATTCTCCCTCTAATTTTGTTTTCACTTTTTTGCCATTTTCCCCCGAAAGCTTTTTCAAGTGCCCACAGTGCTCTGAGTGCTGAGCAGTTCTAGCCCTGAGGGCCCAGAGAAAAAGGGCAGAGAGAGACAAACAGCCCTGCCTTCTACTGACAGCTTGACTTGGACTGGGGAGGGCTGTCTGAAGCCCCTCCCATGGACCCCAAGAAAGGCCTCAGGGCTGGGAGACATCCTCACTCTCCCCTCCAATGCAAGCAGGTGCCATCCAGTCTAAACAAGAGCCTGCTTTCCTGGGGCTGGCGTGTCCATGCTTAGGCTGCAGGGGATGAGGGCTAGGCCTGTAAGAATGTGCCTGTCAGTGATGCTTAGACAGGCTATTTCTCTAAACAACTGATGGTCATTTGTCAGGCAACAGCTGTGGCTGGCTCCTTCTTCCAAGAAAAAGGGAAGAGGAATAAAGCCAGGAAGAGATAGAAAGCTACAAAGTTTCATTTGTAGAACCAAAAGTTATTAATATGTTGTGTATCAGTTGCTGGTTAGATGAATAATACCCAGCCCTTGTCCTAAGGAGCCACAGTCTCTCTAATTGCCCTCACCAGGTCCACTGACCACTAACCACTGACTGTCAATGAGCAGATATTGTTGGAGAGGCTTGAGTGTTGGTGTGAATTCCAGGACCCTGAACAAAGGAGGCATAAGAGGAAAAATAGGCAAAAGTCTCCCCACTCTAACCCTGCTCCACCCTGATCTTTGATTCCTATTTCCTAAGCACCCTCCCCGAAACTCAAATCTACTCTCTCTAAAATGATTCTCTGCTCATGTACACCGACTACCCTACTCCACCTCCTCACAAAAATACATCACCTCACGCACCACTGCCTTCCTCTAGTCCCTAACCCCAAATAGTCCACAGCCTTCCTCCTAGACCATTCTATTTAAACTACTTAGCATTTAGTAAAGTTTACTGTGTGTCACTTGCTATTCTAAGTGTTTTACAGGGATTCATTATGACATAGGCACTACAAATATCCCATTTTACAGATGAGGAAACAGGCCTATCATTGTTACCCTATTCCTGTTTATCAAGAAACCCAGGCAGCCTGACTGCAGGGTCCACTTGCTTGCTTTTCTGCCTCATCGACCCTGCCTTGGTTCTCATCCTAACTTCTCTCAGTGACAAACCTTTGCCCTCTTCTTTCCATGAGGGAAAATAATATCAGCTACCTGGCTTCTGCGTGCTACAGAGCATAGACTGAAGATTACAGGTGTGAGAAACTTAGCCTCCTTCTTTCAGGTCTTGCAGATAACTGCAACTGGATTGTGTCTGAAACACTCAGCCTGATAGAGGAGACCACAACACACAGGGGATAATTGGTACCATTTCTCTGGCACTGTTGATTCATTTACACAAGGTTTTTCTTGACCTGTAACATGAGCATAGTACTAGTGACTTCACACAGCTTATGGGAGGATGACAGGTGTACCAACTTTCCTGTAACTCATGATGCAGTAGATCTGCAAACAAATTGACATTCGAAAGGAAGGCGACTCATGGAAGGTTTATTTCTGAGGTAATAACAAGAATCATTGTTTTCAAGGCCTTCATCCCTAGCCCTGATTTGACTTCTTATTCTCAGGAGGCCTGCACCTTCATTCTCTCCAGAACCTCAGCTTTAATTTAAAGGCCCGTCAGAGATCTTTGAAAGCCTAAATCTTTCCCTTCCAGCTGGTCAGAGATATTGGCATATTAATCTATTTAGTAATTATGCGAACAAGCTCTGACCATGTGTTATTGAAAATTAAACTATCAAAATGTGTCCAATCACATTGCTCAATTTTTCAATCCCATTGTGTCATTAGATTCAACACCAAGATTAATTACGAAGCAATGGGCCAGGTTCGCCAGATGTTCTGCTGACTCCAGTCAAAGTACATCTGTTTCCCCACTTACCGTCACTGCACACTCAGCTGCTCATTCCACAGTTGCTGGTCTGGTTCAGGGTTACATTAGCCTAAGCATGCTTGGTATTGACTTAGTTGCATGCTATTGCGTCTCCAGCTCCTTTTGTCAGCGGATGATTTGTCCCAAGAGAGTCACAAGAGAGTGAGAACTGCCCACCAGCTTTGAAATTAAAAAAAAAGAAGCTATTTCTTTGGAGGTAAATAAAATGACAGGGACTAAGAAGCCACAGACCTAGGTTCTAGCCCAGAATCTCTGACCTCTTCCCTCATGGCAGAATTTCTTCGTAAACTGCTTTCCCTTCTGGCAAAGCAGTGTTAGCACCGTTATGTAAACAGCAACCAGCCAGAGTGCCCAGGGTACCATGGAAAGAGCAGAGCCTCAGGAGGTACACAGGATTGGTCTTATTCTGGCACCCTGACACTTATTGGATGTGTGACCAAGAGCAAATCAGTGTTACCGTCTCTGAGCTTTCTCAGTTGTGCAATGACGAGGTAAAAGTACTTACCTTTGAGGGTTGTGAGAATTGTGAAGAGTATACAGAAAGTGCTTGGCATTTTTGTGTTAGTGATTAAGCACTGAGCTTGAGTCAGACTAGCCAGGGTTCAACTCCTGCTCTGTACTCTACTAATGACTATCTGGATGACTGAGCGATTAACCTAATCTTTCGAAACCTCAATTTCATCATCTACAAAATGGAGATGATAATAGGATCTATCCCATAGGTAATATTCAATTACATAATTAATATTAATGCATAGTAGACTGCCTGGCAATTAACAAACATTAAATAAATATTGAGAAGTGTTATTATTATTACCATGGAATATATAGTAGCCATTCAATAAATATTGATTTTCTTTCCACTTTCTTCTTTCCTTTCCCATCTCTATGTTTTTATATGGTTCCCAAGATTGATGGGGTCTTAAGAGTCATATAATCTAATCTGTTTTGTGATACAGACATTGATTTATTTTATATTATAACAAGAAAATTTTGCAATTATAAGCCCAGTTGCTTCCTCAAGAGGATAGATCCTGTTGCATGGAAGGTACTTTGTTTTACCGAATTCCTTAGCATGCAAGTGTGGGAACATAAACTAAAAGGTGATCTGCATCTTCAGAGTGAGTCAGGTGGGAGAGGATGAAGAACAGAGAGAAGAGAAAAGAAGAAGGGAAAAGAAAAGATGACGGAGTGACAAGGTTTTATAAAATGACCTTCTTCCAAATGATCACTTAAAATATTAGTGAATTTCCACTAAAAGTTTGATGCAAGTTGATTTCTTATAGAAGCCAGTAAGAGAATTGATGTTTGTTGACTTAAGGTAGAGGAGAAACCAGATTCATGGATAAAGGAGTTAGAGGTATAGGGGACCAAAACATATAAACCTCCAATGGGTCAGTCAGAATATTCTAGGTAATTCTGTGTCTTAAAAAAATGTAGAGGCTTCAAATGACAAAGATTGACTTCAAAGTCTATGTGAGATACAGAAAATCACAAGAAAATGTTGGTGCTACTCGAACAATAAGAACAAGATGGTTTGCCTACAAAATTACAATTTTTAATCCAATCAAGGAGCCAAACACTCTCCCAAAAAACATAATGAAACAAAATTCAAAAAAATCACATGGCCCTCCTAGGAGAGAAGAGACACATGATGATTTTTATCACTATAGAATGGACTCTCTCTTGGTTCTCATTTCTTCAGACTCAAACTGGAACTACATATGGGCTCTCCTGAGTCTCCAGTTTGCTGGCTGCAAATCTCGGGACTTCTCAGCCTCCATGATTGCACGAGTCAGTTAATTGACTCATATATATATACGAGTCTGTTTGCATGATTATATAAATATATATATATTCTATTGGTTCTGTTTGCATGGTTACGTGAGTTATTTATATATTTTTAAATAAATATTATTTATATATTATATTTATATGTTATTTAAATATATAAGTATTTAAATATTAAACATAGATATAATGTATATATAATCATGCAAATGGAACCCATAGAACATATATATATATATATATATCCTATATAGTCAGGAGAATCCTGGCTACTGCAGATTTTGGTACCAAGGAGTTCTACTGTATTTTTATCAGTAATGTCTGACATTCAATCAAAAGTCATGATACGAAATGGCAAGGACATGAAAGACAAGTAAAGACTTGGGAACTTTCACAGATTGGAGGAGACTAAGGAGACATTACAACTACATGAAATACAATATTTTTTATTGGATCATGGCAAAGAAAAACTAGGGAAATCCGAGTAAAGACTGTAGTTTAATGAATAGTATTATACCAATATTAATTTCTTAGCTTTGATCACTGTACCATGGTTATATAAGGGCTTAACATCAGAGGAATCTGGGCAAAAGATATACTGGAACTCTTTATACTATTTTTGCAACTTTTCTGTAAGTTTTAAATTATTTCAAAATTAAAAGCAAGATAACTATGAGATCCACAGAAAGCAAGAAGATGTGGCCCACTCCGTGTCCCCTGAGGAAAGAGTCAACAGAAGCAGTCACGGAGATGTTCTAGATGTTGGAATTATGAGAGAAAGACTTTAAGATAACTAAGTTATCGTTACATGTTATATGATCAATATGTTACACAATTGTCTATAAAAGAAGAACAACATGAGAGTGTGGATGAGGAAAGTTGGCAGAGACAGTTTATACTTTCTATGAAAAAAGAAAAACCAGATGGAAATGCTAAGAAAAAAAATACCATGCAAGAAATGAAGAATCTTTCAATGAGTCATCAGCCGACAAGACCAGAGAAAATAATTAGTGAATTTGATAACGAGTCAATATAAATTATTCAAAATGAAACATATAAAGGAAAATGTTTTAAAAAAAAGAACAGAGCATTTGAGCTTTATGGCACATTATTAAATGAACTATCATTTGTGTAATTAAAACTCCAGAGTGAAAAAAGACACAAAAAAAGGGCAGAGGAAATGTTTGAAGAGGCTAAGAAATTTCCAAAATGAATAAAAAACAAGAATCCATAATAAGCAGCATATTGAATAAATACAAACAAAACTACATTTAAACACATCTGAAATCAGACAGGAAATAAAAAACCACATTACATGCAGAGAAAAAAATAAGAATGACAGTTGCCCTCTCATCAGAAATAATACAGACCAGAAGACAATGGAAAGACACTTTTAGAGCGCTGTAAGAAAAACATTTAAAAAACAAAAATTATCAACCTAGAATTCCATACCCAGAGAAAATATCTCTCAAAAATATAGGCAAAATAAAGACAAGTTCAAGCAGACAAAAGCTTAGATTCTCTGGCTTCAGCAGATGTGCATGATAAGAAATGCAAAAGAAGCTCTTCCCACTGAAGGGAAATGACACCAGGTAAAAACCTAGTTCTGCAGGAATGAAAAACATGAGGAATGGTAAATATGTCCATAAATCAGACCGCTGACTGTTTAAAGTAAACATTGTAACGATATATTGAGGAGTTTTAATCTATGCAAAAGTGAAATAGATGATAAAAGAAACACAAAAGGCAGGAGAATGGCGATTGGAAGTATATTGTTCTAAGGTTTTTACATTGTTTAAAAAGTAGTATAATTTTTTTAAAAGACAGACTCTGATAAGATAAAAAGACATATTAAAACTTCTTACCCAACCATATGTACATACACACAAATAAAACAAAAAAAATACAAAAAGATAACGGAGGAGATAAAGTAGAAAACTAAAAACTGCTATTATTCACAAAAAAAAAAAATGGTAGGAAATGGGGAGTTGGGTAACAAAAAGCCAATGGAACACAGTTTTTAAAACATGCAAGATGATAGACAAATACAAACATATCAATAATTAAGTTAAATTCAAATGAACCAATGCACCAATTAAAAGGTAGAGATTTCCAGACTTGATAACAAAGGAAGAGTGAGTCGTATGCTGTTTATGACTAGCACACTTTAAACATAAAGACACAGGTTGAAAGTCAAAGGGCAGAGAAATGTGTACCATATGGGATGGGCATATTTGAAAGTGGCCTCCACAATTCCTGACACCCCATGTTCATACCATTGTGTAATCCCTGCCCCTTGAGTGTGGACAAGACCAAAGACTTGCTTCTAATCAATAGAATATGGCAAAGTTGAGATGTCACTTACAGTATTATGCATTGTAATCATGGAACACTTATCTTGCTAGGAGACTCTCTTTCTGGCTTTGACGAAGCAAGCAGGCATGCTGGGGAGGCCCATATGGCAAAGAGCTGAGGGTAACCTCCTGCCAGCAATCAGCTAGGAATTAAGAGTGACTAACACATGGAGTAAATATTATTTACTTCAGCTTATACCTTCTCTTCTCTTTAGAAAATGCTTCTCTCTGTCTCTAGTCATTCTCTTTAACATGAAACCTACTTTGTCTAATGTTAATATAGCCACATCAGCTTTCATGCTTAGTGTTTGCATGGTGCATTAGTTATCTATGGCTGCCTAACAATATTACCACACACTTAGTGGCTTAAAGCACATTGAATATTCAGTTTCTGTGGGTCAGGAGTCTGGTCATGGCTTAGATGAGTTGTCTGCAAGAATGCAATTATTATTGGCCAGGGCTGGGTTCTCATCTCCAGGTTTGACAGGAAGGATCCACATCCAAACTCAAGTGGTTATTGGCAAAGTTCAGTTACTTGCATCCTGTTGGACTGAGGGACTCTGTCCTACAGTCAACTGCCAGCAAAACACCTAGTCAATAATCATGACTGTAACCTTGCAGAGGACCCATTTAAGCTATGACCAGACTCTTGATCCATAGAAACCCTGAAAAATCAATTTGCTTGAAGTCACTAAGTGTGTGGTAATATTGTTATACAGCAATAGATAACTAATACACCCTGCAAATGCAAAGCGTATGAGAGCTGATGTGGCTATATTAATATCAGACAAAGTAGGTTTCAAGTTGATGATAATTACCAGAGACAGAGAAAAATATTTCCTAGAGATAAAGGGGTCAATTTACCACAAGACATAGCAATCTAGGAGCAAATCATACAAATACATGAAGCAGAAAATTGACAGAATACAGTAAAAATGGACAAATCCACAATTTTAGCTAGGAATTTTACTGTCACTCTCAGTAGTTAATTGGATAAGTAGGCAAAATAATCAGTGAAGAATTCTACCCAACAAAAATATCTTTTGAAAACACATGCAAAATAGGTTTTTTGAGGCCAACAAAAGCAGACAGAATGCATTGAAAGTAGAACTGCACTACAAGAAATGTAAGTCCTTCCACAGATGAATCATGATATCAAACAGAAAATTTAGACCTACATAAAGAAACAAGAAGTGCTAGAAATGGTGAAAATAAAGGTAATCATAAAAGTCTTTATTTTTCTTATTTCATTCACTTTAAAAGGAAATTGGCTGTCTAAAGCAAAAGTAGTACAGTTAGTGGGTTATAACATGTGCAGAAATACAGTGTATGAAAACAATAGGACAAAGGATTGAAGAGAGAATAATGGAAGATGACACTGGAAAGGTTCTCAAGCTTACATGAAGTGGTATATTATATTAAGACAGACTGTGATAAATTCGAGGTACACTGTAAACCATAAAGCAACCACTAACAAAAATTCAGAAACAGGTATAACTAAAAAGTCAAGCGTGAAAATAAGATGGAATTACAATAAAGTACTCAATTCAAAATTAGGCAGAAAAAGAAAGAAACAAGTAACAAACAACAGATTGGAAAATAGAAAACAACTAGCAAGACTTCACGTTTAAATGTGACCATACCAATATTTACACTGAACATGAAAGGTCTAAACATCACAACTGAAAAGCAAAGATTGTCAGATTTAATAAAAAGGAAAGACCAAATACATGCTATCTTCAAAAAACCCACATCAACTATAAAGATCTAAATAGTTAAAAGCAAAGGATGGTAACAAATACACAATGAAAACACTAATCAGTAAGAAGCTGATTCAGATTTCATAGCATAGTAAGTACTCAATAAATGTTAGCTGCTAGTTTTTAGCAGTAGTAATAGTTATAATGGGATTAGTGGTCATATCATGTAACTAGGAAAATTGTTCACAGTTGGTATCAGGCAAGGAGGAAAGCCCAACAGCAGGGAGGACTCTAGGCATCTCAGCAAGTGCCCATGAGTCTAGGAAGTGGTATCATTTGTCGGCAAAGCCCCAACAACCCACTAAGTTACTTAGGCAGCAGTAACTTTCCTTGCTCATTGCTAACCTGACTTCTGCTGCTTAACACAGCTGAACCTGTACTAAAGTTTTGCTTGCTCACATTCTTACACAGGTGTATATTAGTTTTTTTGTGTTTTTCTATAATTAGAATTCTCAAGGACCAAAAAGCAAGTTGGAAAAGTAAAAAGAATGTGAAGTCTGTTCAAATGTCAGTTCTATTATTATTGAACTATGTCATCTTGAAAAAGTTATAATACTTAACTCCCCCCAAACCCATCTGTTTCTCTGTAAAATGAGATAATTATTTTACAATCCTTGTTGAGAGGATTAAATGAGCTAATATATATAATATCCGTCATAGAGCATGGGCTCAGTATGGCCCCTGTCCCCCCAGTTTCCTATGAGGCTTGAGGGTATGAAAATCCAATCTGTCTGGAGTGGTGTGGGGAGTTTATACACTATGGATCTCTTTATATAATTGGGAGCAATGTGGCCTGGATGGCTAGAGTGATGGGTAAGAGCACCTTCCCCAACTCAGGACTGGCAGCAGGAAAGTAAAAACCCTGATGAGCTTTCATCTTTGTCCCCTCTAAGGCAAACAAAATGGAAAACTCATGCCCTGTGTATTTCAAATTCTCAACCTGATACATCAACCATAGTTATAGATATTAGTTATAGCAATAACCCTGCTGGTTCCACAGAATTAAGAAAGTCAGCAGAAAACTTCTGCAGTTCCTTAAGAGAGGCAAGGTAGAATTTGCCTTAGCAGAAAAACTAAATCAGACTTGCAAATAAAAGTAAAATCTGTAAGACCACATTTTTTAAAACATTTGTTTATTCATTCATTCATTCATTTATTTACCCATTGACATAGTTTGGCTGTGCCCCCACCCAAATCTCATCTTGACTTTTACTCCCATAATTCCCACATGTTGTAGGAGGGACCTGGTGGGAGATAATTTGAATCATGGGGGTGGTTTCCCACATACTGTTCTTGTGGTAGTGAATAAGTCTCACAAGATCTGATGGTTTTATCAGGGGTTTCCACTTTGGCATCTTCCTCATTTTCTCTTGCAGCCACCATGTAAGAAGTGCCTTTCACTTCCTGCCATGATTCTAAGGCCTCCCCAGCCATGTGGAACTGTATGTCCAATTAAACCTATTTTTCTTCCCAGTCTCAGGTATGTCTTTATCAGCAGCATGAAAATGAACTAATACAGATTGGTACCAGTAGAGTGGGGTGTTGCTGAAAAAATACCTGAAAATGTGGAAGTGAATTTGGAACTGGGTAATAGACAGAGGTTGGAACAGTTTGGAGGGCTCAGAAGAAGATAGGAAAATGTGGGAAAGTTTGGAGCTTCCTAGAGACTTGTCAAATGGCTTTGACCAAAAGCCTGATAGCTATACAGACAATAAGGTCCAGGCTGAGATGGTCTCAGATGGAGATAAGGAACTTATTGGGAACTGGAGCAAAGTTGACTCTTGTTATGTTTTAACAAAGAGACTGGCAACATTTTGCCCCTGCCCTAGAGATCTGTGGAACTTTGAACTTCAGAGATGATTTAGGGTATCTGGTGGAAGAAATTTCTAAGCAGCAAACCATTCAAGAGGTGGCCTGGGTGCTGTTAAAGGCATTCAGTTTTATAAGGGAAGAAGAGCATAAAAGTTCAGAAAATTTGCAACCTGAAAATGTGATAGAAAAGAAAAACCCATTTTCTGAGGAGAAATTCAAGCAGGCTGCAGAAATTTGCCTAAGTAACGACGAGCCAAATGTTAATCCTCAAGACAATGGGGAAAACGTTTCCAGGGCATGTCAGAGGTCTTCACAGCAGTCTCTCCAGTTACAGGCCCAGAAACTTAGGAGAAAATGGTTTTGTGGGCCAGGCCCAGGGTGCTGTGTGCAGCCTAAGGACTTGGTGCCCTGCATCCCAGCCACTGCAGCCATGGCTAAAAGAGACCAATGTAGAGCTCAGGCTGTGACGTCAGATGGTGGAAGCCCTAGGCCTTAGCAGCTTCCACGTGGTGTTGAGCCTTTGAGTGCGCAGAAGTCAAGAACTGTGGAACCTCCACCTAGATTTCAGAAGATGTATGGATATGCCTGGATGCCCAGGCAGAAGTTTGCTGCAGGGGCGGGGCACTCATGGAGAACCTCTGCTAGGGCAGTGCAGAAGGGAAATGTAGAGTCAGAGCCCTCACACACAGAGTCCCTACTAGGGCATGACCTAGTGGAGCTGTGAGAAGAGGACCACCATCCTCCAGACCCCAGAATGGTAGATCAACCAACAGCTTGCACCATTTGCATGGATAAGCACAGACACTCAATGCCAGCCTGTGAAAGCAGCTGGGAGGGAGGCTGCACCCTGCAAAGCCATAGGGGTGGAGCTGCCCAAGACCATGGGAACCCGCCTCTTGCATCAGCATGACCTGGATGCGACACCTGGAGTCAAAGGAGATCATTTTGGAGCTTTACAATTTGACTGCCTTGCTGGATTCTGCAAGGACTTGCATGGGCCCTGTAACCCCTTTGTTTTGGCCAATTTCTTCCATTTGGAATGACTGTATTTACCCAATACCTGTACCCTCATTGTATCTAGGAAGTAACTAGCTTGCTTTTGATTTTACAGGCTCATAGGCAGAAGGGACTTGCCTTGTCTCAGACAAGACTTTGGACTGTGGACTTTTGGGTTAATGCTGAAATGAGTTAAGACTTTGGGGGACTGTTGGAAAGGCATGATTGGTTTTGAAATGTAAGGACATGAGATTTGGAGGGGCCACAGGTGGAATAATATGGTTTGGCTGGGTCCCCACCCAAATCTCATCTCGAATTACACTCCTATAATTCCCATGTGTTATGGGAGGGAACTGATGGGAGATCATTTGATTCATGGGGGTAGTTTCCCCAATACTGTTCTTGTGGTAGTGAGTAAGTCTCACAAGATCTGATGGTTTTATTGGGTGTTTCCACTTTTGCATCTTCCTCATTTTCTCTTGATGCTGCCATGTAAGAAGTGCCTTGATTCTGAGGCCTCCCCAGCCACGTGCAACTGTAAGTCTAATTAAACCTCTTTTTCTTCCCGGTCTTGGGTATGTCTTTATCAGCAGTGTGAAAATGGACTAATACATCCATCTTCTCTGTCCATATATACAAACCTTATCAAGGATCAACTAAGTGCCAGGTATTGTATTACAAAATCAATGAAATGAACACCCATTTCTATTTCCTGGCAACAAATTATTACAGATTGTGTCAGAGGTGTTTGAACAGGTGACTTCATCTTGAATAGGGCTGGGTAAAATGAGGCTGAGACCTGCTGGACTGTATTTCCAAGAGGTGAGGCAATTTTAGTCACAGGATGAGATGGAAGGTGGACACAAGATACAAGTCACAAAGATCCCGCTGATAAAACAGGCTGCAGTAAAGATGACGGCCAAAATCCACCAAAACCAAGATGGGAACAAAAGTGACCTCTGGTTGTCCTCACTGCTCATTATAGGCTAATTATAATAAATTAACATGCTAAAAGACACCCCCACCAGAGCCATGACAGTTTACAAATACCATGGCAATAGCCAGAATTTACCCTATATGGTCCTAATCGGGGAAAAACCCTCAGTTCCAGGAATTCCCCACCCCTTTCCCAGAAAACTCATGAATAATCCACCGCTTATTTAGCATATGATAAAATAAAACCATAGAAATAGCCAACCAGCAGCCCTTGGAGCTGCTCTGCCTATTCTGTGGACTTGTCCCAAAGTCTTTTATGCTTGAGATCCAAGAACCCTCTCTTGGGGTCTGGATTGCAACCCCTGGAAGTAACAATGGCAGCAAGTGTATAAGACGCTCTTTATAGGTGGTCAATCAAATTTCTAGTTTTCGCTCCTCCATAATGTAAGTACATACTTTATTTCTGATCAAGACTAGCCACAAAATAAGCATCGGTTGGGGCTGGAGCCAAGACCCAGGTTAAACCCCTTGCCTTTAGAAGACAGAACACAGCTGACGAATGAATTAGTATTGACAATGTTTTCAGCAGGTGATCTGCTTGACTCATTAGGGGAACTATCTGGTTCATTAGCCAATATACCTGGTTCAATGAATAATACATTTGATTAAACAGATGAAGCATTTTTTGTTTTAAAAGATAGAAGCCTTTCTACCTCCCACCCTCACCCCTCTGCAGTAGTGGGAGATGTAACTGCTCACAGCAACTTTTGTCTACTTCTGTATTCATCTTTCCTTGCTTAATGCACATCAGTCTGTTCTGAGGGACCATATGCAGGTGTGTGATGAGCACAGTGCTGATACAGGCAGAATTCAGGATTTGGTTATTTCAATAAACCACTGTCATCCAGAGTGTTTCTGAATTTTGTTTTTTAAAAAAGGCCTCAATTTGCTATCTAGACACAATGGGGCTGTTTTTAGCCTGCTGAGATTCACAGCTATATAATCTTTGTTTGCAAATCAGGTCTCTTTTCAACAATGTTGGACGTGGAGACAAAAACAGCCATTCTACAGTCACTTCTCACCCTCAGTATCCTCCTTTTTATGGGGTGAAAGAAAGGGGAGCAGGAGATGAGATCCCTGGAGGAGGAACAGTTGTTCCCTTACTAATACTCATGTCATAACCAGGAACAAACAATTTCTGGAGGCATCCAAGCTCAGGCTCATGAAATCCACACAAACCTAAATTTTGGATGCCCTTAGCATTGGGAAGGAAAAACTAGAAGATACCAGAATCCCCTGGAGGCCCTGTTAAAGCATGGATTTCTGGGCAAATGGAATACTGGTAAATTTTTAACAATTGGCTTTCTTAGGAAGAAAAGATCTAATTTGCATTTGCCAATTTCTGTGGTGCAAATACTCTCACAACAGCCAGGCTCAAACTACCAATATGACCTCACTGACCATGGAATTGGAAAGGAATGTGCATCATCTGTTTTCATGGGTTTATACGAGGCAGCTCCAGCATCACTGGCTGGGTCCCTCCACCCCAGAGTTTCTCACTTGGTGAATCTAGGTTAGGGCCCGAAAATTTGTACTTCCAACAAGTTCCCAGATGGTACAAATGCTGCAATACCAAAATTATTAGGTACCAGATATCATGGGACCTGCCTCTGGCTTTGAAGGCCTTGTCTCCTTCCAAATATCCTCTCTGAAGACCTCTCCTTTTTCCTCTTATATCCTGAAGGGGTCTAATGCAGGCCATTGGAAAGAATTCTTAACCATGGGCATTTGGCTTTGGGCTCTAACCTTTGGGAAAGCTAAGTATACCAATTTTTCAAAAAGAAAACACATATGCTACTGTCCTTTGTTTGCATCTCTCCCTTTTGTAAGCCTGATTGTAAGGAACCAGGTCTTATTCATCTTTTTGTTCTTTGCCTAGCACACTGCCAGTAAAAATTCACTGAACTGAAATGAGCATTGTATACTGGCTTGCATCCCTGAAACACAGATCTTTCAGTTTCTACTACTCATTCGATGTTTCAACCACCCACCTGTCCCCACATTTATTAGTTCATTCATTGATGCAACAGATATTTGAATCTGTATTATGTGCCAGTCACTGGGTACTAGGGATATAGTTGTTAATGAAATAGGCACAATATTTGACCCGTGGAACTTGAAGTAGAGGAGACAAATATTAAATTTCAATTAGATTTGTGATGAGTGCTTCACAGAAAATGTCCAGGATGCTCTGTGGGCATACAACAGGTTGGGGACCTATCTCACTGTGAGGGAATGGGAAAGAAGGGTTCTCTGAGAAAGGGGGATTTAAACTGAGACCTGAATGTTCGATAAGGGTACTTGTTCCTTGCCATGCACCTGTCCCTTTCCCCCATCACCTCTCTTTGGAAAGGTGAGGTGATGGAGGTGCTTTTGGAAAAAAGAGGTGATGGAGGAAAGGGACAGGTAAGGGACAGGTGCATGGCAAGGAACAAGTACCCCAGACAAGGGAAACTGTAAGAACACAGAGAAGGGCAGTATGGCACGAGATGAGGCTGGATAGGGAGGTGGGCTCTGGACTTCATCCTATGAGGAGGGGGGACCATGGAAGGATTATAAGCAGAGGAGACCTAAATCAGCCTATCCAGCCTAAGGAAACATCACCTTTGAATGTGGTGCAGTCAGTCTTGTTTCTGAATCACAAACACAGACATATGCCCGATTATGAAAGGTTCTTAATGGCTGAATTTGTTCTTGGCTCTCTTTGGGTCAGCCAGACCACTCTATTATCCTCTGGTTGCATTACTCCTATCATCCAACTAAATTATAAACTACTCAAGGGCAAGGATGCTGCTTCCCATTCCTTCTGTTGCCCCATTGTGCCTATGGTGGGGCTGTCATTGGTAAACAGCCATGGGGTACTGAAAAGAGCACTTGACTTAATGCAAGAAGACTGGGGTTCCAGTCCACACCCCACCACTTACCAGCTGTGAGACCAGACCTCTGAGGTGAGGCATTTATCCTCTCAGAACTTCAATTTCCTTGTCTATAAAATAGGGAAATCTTATACATTTTATAAAGTGGTTGTGAAAGGATCAAAGAAGATACTACAGGCAAAAATCCTAAACTAATTGCACACATGAGATGAGGTAATTAGTGATGGACAGAGTGGGTAGGAACCATGGGCCTTACTTACCTTCCTGTGCAGAAGAACCACTCAACCACCAAGCTGCCCTGGCAGCCTCACTGCACATGTTATAGGCTTCCAAGGGTGACAGTCTGAGACCATGCCAGGATCTGGGACCCCAGAAGGACACACATTCTCTGATGTTCCTCTCTCAACCTACATTTGATGGCCTCTGAACTCCAAGGTGTCCTCTGGTCAACACCTTCCTCATATGGGTAAGTCACGTTATGGTTTCTAGAGTGGAAGTGGGGCAATATGGCTTAGGGAAATACAGTTGACCCTTGAACAACATGGGTGTGAATTACACAGGTCCATGTATATAGGGGTATTTTTCTCAACCAAAGGTGGATCAAAAATAAAGTATCTCAGGATGCAAAACTCACACATATGGAGGGCTGACTTTTTTGTGTACATGGGCTCTGCTGGGCAGATTGTGGGACTGGAGTATGTGCAGATCTGGGTACACTGGAACCAATACCCCACATATACGTAGGGACAATTGTATTTTTTAAACAGGACTTCATGAACCACTCACATCAGAATGACCCAGGCACTTATTAAATCACAAATATATGGGCCCCACCCCAGATCGACTACATCAGAGTCTTAGGAACACTTAAGCCTCCCAACTATGCCATGGTGCTCAGAGAGATGAGCACATGAGTTCCATCAACATGACCTCAGCCTCCTCATCTCTACTTTTGATTATACATTATGTTAATCTCTACCTCAGATAGGGCCTGTGAGGGTTAAATGAGATAAAGTATGTGCAGTGCTTGAAACTGCACGTGGCACTTAGAAAGCATTTGATAAATGGTCACATTTATTATGTTACCCTGGCCTCTCAGCAGCCCTGTGTGTGGGCAGATGGGGAGCTGATGTCTGAAAAAGCAAAATGAGTTACCAGAGGTCACACAGCTAATTAGCAGCTGAGCAGGACTAACGTCCCTCAATGCCTAATGCCTAAACCAGAACTATTTCCGCCACACCAGGCTGCCTCCTTTAAGCTCTGAACTTTGTAAATATGTCTCTTCCATATACCAGTCTCTAGGTGGCCGAACAGAGGTCTACATAGCTCTCTTTCATTAGCAATTTATCTGGATATTGCTTTGTGTCTTGCAAACAGATAACCAGGCTCAGCTCTGCTGACCTCTAGAATCCCTAGAGATATAATTGAGTTTGCATTATCTGACAGGTAGCCCATCTCCTGACATTTAGGTAAACTGCAGCACCTCCACACCTGACCTTGACAACCTGCCCCAGGGCTCTGAATCCTTTCCCTTTCTTGCCACAAGCCCCCGCCACCCTCCACCCCAACCCACCTCCCCTTTTCAAACAGCCATGGACACTCCTGTTCAGCCATGTACTACTGATGCAGATGCTGACTTAATGCTAGGCACGCAAGAATACAAAACCCAAACCACTCCCCTTGCAGATCCCGCCCTGCCTCTTTGAGACAGGGGAGATTTAATTTAGATAGAGGTGATTTCTTGTGATATGAATGTCCCAGCCTACCCTTGAGGAACAAACAAACAAGGCAAGAGCCTCTTGGAGCCAGACACTGGAACACAGCAGCACAGTCCCCACGTGCCAGAACCCTGCTTCCACCTTTCTTTCTCTTATGAAGAATTCAGGGTTGTCTATGTTAAGGCATCCTTAAAGCCCCCTCAGGTTACTCTTGATCCACTGCCCACCCACCCTACTGATGGGGGAAGACACAGCAGGTGTGTGATTTTCGTGATTCGATGTCACCTTCTCTTATTGAGTCAGCCCTATTTGCTTTCTCAGGGATTGCACCTCTCCACTACTGCCCCCTCCACACACATTGGCCTTTCCCTTCTCCCTCCTTTTGCAACCCAGACAAAGAAAAAATAGGATTGGGCAAGGCATCTCAAGGACTCTGGTTGCTAGCCTGAGGGTGCTAACCAGGAGGATTTTAAAGGCCTTTTGCATTTTTAACATTCTGTGGTCATCTAGCTTACTCATACTTAGCTGTTTCCAGGACTTGGGCTGGGGACAGCTATCAGCCAATGTGTACTACAATGTGTACAATGTGAAAGCATCTTCAGGGTACTTTCTAGCAGAGGTTCCCAAACCTTTTCCATTCATGGCATCCTTAATGTTTTAGGAAAGTGTTTTCACAGTCCTATAGGCCAAAAGAAATACCTAACAGTTCTATTTATTAAGTAGTTAGGTCCAAAAAACTCCGTGGGTATTTATGTCTTAACAACACTCTAGCCATTTAAAAATAATAATAATACACATAAATTGAAAGAGAAATAGCATTTAGTTTCCTTCTTGAATAACAACAATTACTTGCTAATGGGATAGATGTGCTATTGGGCACTGCACGATGTCTCAAACTGTGGAATTAGAAAAACACTATCCCATTTCCTGTTTCACCTTGATTTTTGCACAGTGCTTGTCTTTTTCTCACAACAACCAATAATCTAGCTTTGCAAAACCATGATCTCCCCGAAAGAAATGCTGAGTGATCTAATGTTAGAATTGTGGACTACTTCTAGCTATCATTTTGCACAGTGTCTGATAGATGTCAGATATCACTGTATTTCCTTAGAAACTTAAAAATATCCTGAGATACCTCTGTGAGTTTACTGTGGCACCCCAGGGCACCCTGGCACAGAGTTTGGGGCCTGGGGCTCTATGGTCTGATTTCCTAAACTCATATCTAAAGCCTTGCTCCCTGCAGCTTCTAAGAGAATCTCAGTAGGTACTTCATGGTATTACTTGCCACCCTGATCTCCTAGCAGATGTAGAGAAGCTAGCCACTTTTGCATTTAGACAAGGGTCTTGGGACAGTCTAGCTTAAGTAACCAGAAGAGCTTTGCACATTTTATTTCATTGTCTAAGCCCAGAAACATCAAACTGGAAGATAGTTTATACTTAGGCAATTCAGACTAACTGCCTGATTGTGTTTGCTAAATGTGTATGCAGGTGGGTTAAGCCCTAACCATGCTAGTGACAGGGAAAAAGAAAACAAACGGAAGCTATGGTGTCAGCCAATCAGGTTGACTGCATACCTGATCTGGATAGCCTGGGTCATTATTCAGCCTTTTGTTTAATGTTCCTGGATCTATACAGTCAAGATCAAATTGGCAATAAAAAATACTTTAGATAGCTGTTAAGCATAGCCACGTGCCAGGTACTGTGATAAGATCTGCATACTTATAGGTTCTACCCATGCAACCTCTCTGTAATGTAGATACTATTGCATCCACAACAATTAATGAAGAAACCAGGGCTTAGAGCAGTCATACAGCACATAAGCAGCCAGGACTTGAAGACACATCTTCCTGACTCTAGAGACCCAAATTTTTGCCACTCATATACTGCCTCTTTAAAAATGTCATTTTCCTGAACCCAGGAAGTTGAGGCTGCAGTGAGCTGTAATTACACCACTTGCACTCCAGCCTGGGTGAGGAGAGTGAGACGTCGTCTCAAAAATAAATAAATAAATAAATAAACAAACAAATAATAAATATATAATTTTTCTTCCCAAGGATGCCAAACGGCCCACTTGGCAGCTTTTTGTTTGCCACCCGTCGCATCCCTGTTTCCTTGAGCCTGTACCCTTCCCAGCAGATGCAAAGATGCTTCCCGCATCTTGTTCATCTCACCCATCAGCAATACTGAGAATTATCTTCTTTCTTGTTTCCCTCATCCCTCCACCCAACTCACATCACAACTGGGGAGGAAAGAATACCAAGTGTCCTTTAAACAGAAAAGTCAAAAGCTATAAAAGAAAAGGAAATGGCATTTGCCTGGCATAGAGGATGGATAATTTAGAGGCCAATGCTTTAAGTTATAGAGAATCTGTCAGACCAGGTTCATGGACATTTATTTCTCCCTCTTGCCAGTAGGTCCTAGAAACCCCAGTTCTGTCTATAAAAGCAAATGTCAGGGAACCTGTAGCTCTCCCCTCCACGACCAGACATTAATGCAGGTAGTGCAGCACTAATGCCTTGAATTATTTGTTGCTCCCGTCTGCATTTTCTCAGAAGTTCCCTTTATCGACAACTTATGTGTATTAACACTTTGGGGGTGAGACAAAAGAAAATCATGGTGAGATTTGAGGCGTCTGCCTCATACTTGGCGGAAATGCTGGCTCAGCCACCGCCCAGATTGTTAACAGATCTAACCTGCAATAATGGTCTCCTTCTGCTCAAGAAAGCTCTACTTGATGTCATGCTGCTACTTCGGTGGCTGTCACTGCCTCTCCTCCTTCTCCTCCTCCTCCTGTTATTGGGGTATAATTCACTTTTTGTGTACCATTCTATAATTTGACCAATGTATACATCCACGTATACCCACCACCACAAGCAAGATATAGAAAATTTCCATAGCAACCAAAAATCCCCCCATGCTCTTTCATCATCCACCCCTACCCCCTCGCCTCAGTCCTATCCACCACTGATCAGTTTTCTGTAGTTTTTCCTTTTTCAGAATGTCAAAAAAATAGCATTACACTGTATTTAGCTTTTCAATTTTGGCTTTCTCTTAGCATGATGCATTTTAGACTCATCCATGTTGTTGCGCGTATCAGTAGCGTGTTCCTTTTTATTGCTAAACCAGAGGGTTTTTTTTTTTTTATTCACCAGTGAATGATATTTACATTGTTTCAAGTTTGGGGTAATTATGAATAAAGCTGCTTTAAAAATTTGCATACAAGTTTTTGTGTGAACCTAAGATTTCATTTTTCTTAGGTAAATACCCAATAGTGGGATTGCAGGGTTTACTTTTAATTGACACATAATAATTGTATGTATTTATGGAGGACATAGTGATATTTCAATACATACAATGTATAGTGATCAGATCAGGGTAATTAGCATGTCCCTCATCTCAACATTTATCATCTGTGTTGGGAGCGTTCAATATCCTCTCTTCTAGCTATTTGAAAATATATGTTAGTGTTAACTAGAGTCATCCTTCAGTGCTATAGAACACTAAAACTCATGCCTCCTACCTAGCTGTAATTCTGTATTCTTTAACAAATCTCTCCTATCCTCCTTTTCCTCCTACCCTTCTCAGCCTCTAGTAAATTCTATTCTACTCTTCACTTTTATGAGATTAACTTTTCTAGTTTCCGCATCTGAGTGAGAATATGCAGTGTTTAACTGTTTCTGGCTTATTTTACTTAACCTAATGTCCTCCATGCTCATCCATGTTGCTACAAATGACAGAATTTCATTCTTTTTATGGTCAGATAGCATTCCATTATGTATATATACCACATTATGTATATATACCACATTATGTATATATACCACATTATGTATATATACCACATTATGTATATATACCACATTATGTATATATACCACATTTTCATTATCCATTCATCTGTTGTTGGACACCTAGTTTTATTCCGTGTCTTGGCTATTGTGAATAATGCTGCAATAAACCTGAGTGGTGGGGCAAAGGGGAGGTAAAGATATCTCTTTGACATGATTTCCTTTACTTTAAATAAATACCCAGTAGTGCGATTCCTGGATCCTATGGTAGTTCCATTTTTAGGTTTTTGAGGAACCTTCCTACTGTTCTCCCTACTTAACCATACTAATTTATTCCTACCAATGGTGTATGAGAGTTCCCTTTTCTCTGCATCCTCATCTTTTGCTTTTTAACTGGGATGAGATGATATCTCACTGTGGTTATGATTTGTATTTCCCTGATGATTAGTGACTTGAATACTTTATAAGTTCAAACTGTTTTCCCCAATAGCTGTAGCAATGGGGATTCCTACCAGCAATGCATGAGAGTTCCAGTTGCTCTGCATCCTCGTCAGCACTTGGAATTGTTGTTGTTTTTTTTTAATTCCTTTTAAAATTTTAATTATTTTGAGAGTTGTATAGTGATATTTCAGCCATAGTTTTAACTTGCATTTTCTTAATATCATTCTCTAATATCTTTTTTTTTTTTAATGGCCATTTTTAAAATTGGGTAGTTTGTTTTCTTATTGAGTTTAGAGAGTGTTTATATATTCTAGATACATATCTTTTGTGTTTTACAAATATTTTCTCCTATTCTGTGACTTATCTTTTCATTCTTTTAATAGTGTCCCTTGAAGAACAGAGGTTTTCAATTTTTTGAACGTCCAATTTGTCAATGTTTTCTTTTATCGATCATGCTTTTGATGTCATATCTAAGGAATCTTTGTTTCACCCAAGGTCACAAACATTTTCTCCTACATTTGCTACAGAAGTTTTATAGCTTTAAGTTAAATATTTGAGTCTATGATCTATTTTTAGTTTCATGCTTCTTTTTAAGTTGGTTGTCTTTTGAGGACAGAGAGGAAGAGGAAGGAAGAGAAATTTGACTTAAAGTCTGTAAGGAGTTTGTCTGACGACAGTCAGCTCATCACTACACAGGAGGCCACATGATGTAGTGGTTAAACCTTAGGTTCTGACATCAAGTGCCTATGAATCTGCCATCCATATCGTAAGTTGTAACATAGAATGATTACATATACTTGAGGACCCTCAAGAAAATGAGTTGTTAAAAGAACTTGAAAATGAGTTGTTAAAAGAAAAGTTAAGATTAGAACCAGGAATGTGGTATTGGGCTTTAGAACCAAGGCCCAGTGGTTTCAGCTGGTTCTGTGTAAGGACAAAAAGAACTCTCAGCTGGGGAATTCCCTAAGAATGTTTGCCAAAGTGGTTTCTTGCTCAGTACTAGAATAACAGATGAGGTTCTATGATTGAGCCACTTGTATTCCCCATACTGCATATGGCTGCCTTTGCAGCCTGGTTCTACCTGTGTTCCCTGGATCTGAGCTAACAGGGAGCACTGGCTTCCTTGCTGCTGCTCTCACTGCTCCAGGCCACTCACCTACTTAGATGTGTCATTGCTTTACCTGTGCTCCCTGCTCCCAAACTCTCCATCTTTCAGCCCTTTGTTTGGAAGGAGCACCTATCAGCTTTTGTTTGGACTGTTTCTTCCACAAAGACACCTATTCCACACTCGAGAAAGGAAGACTTACAAATTCACAGCTAGCCGGGCACAGTGGCTCACGCCCATAATCCCAGCACATTGGGAGGCCAACGCAGGTGGATCACTTGTGGTCAGGCGTTCGAGACCAGCCTGGCCAACATGGTGAAACCCTGTCTGTACCAAAAATACAAAAATTAGCCAGGTGTGTTGGCACGTGTCTGTAGTCCCAGCTACTTGGGAGGCTAAGCCAGCAGAATCCCTTGAACCCGGGGGGTGGAGGTTGCAGTGAGCCGAGATTGTGCCACTGCACTCCAGCCTGGGTGACAGAGTGAGACTCTGTCTCAAAAAACAAACAAATAAAAACTTAAAAAACCCAAAAAAACAAATTCACAGCTAGAAATGATCAAAGATGTTTTTCTTCTCTGTTCACAGCATCGAGGCAGGCCTACCCTAAAATCTTCTGGGAAACATACATCCAACTAGTTAAATGAGAGGCAACGTGGCATAGAGAACAGCAGGTGGGGATGGGAGCACAGTGGTTTTGTTCTGAAACTTGAGTTAACATCACAATTCTGGCACTTATTTAAATGCCACTTTGGGCAAAGCACTTGCCTGCTTAGCCTCAGTTGCCCAATCTCAGGGTGAAGAATTTTGAAATCTTTATTTGGTTTCATGAGCGTTAGATGATATAGTAACTGCTTGTGAATTATCTGGTACATTGTGGCAACTTTCATAATTATGATGATAAAGTGTGCTCAGCCTTCCTCGACCCTCATTTCCAGAATTCACAACTCTTTCGGAGGAACTTCTTTTTTCCTGTCTAATCAAAATGCCCCCTGCTGCTGGCACAGCTCACTTCTAGGATCACATCTAATCAATGGCCCTCAGACTATCAGATGGAAGTTGAGAACATCCTAATGGCTTTTGAATTTTTTGTAAAGTACATGTGTATGTATAGTGCAATCCACTTGTGAAGAACTTGTAGCAGATCAATTACTGTAAATGCCCTAAACAGCCTCAATTGATTGCCATGCGTGATTTGAAGTTCTGATTAATACAGGCTTTGTTCAAAGGGGAAAGCTTTTCTGAAAGAGAAGGAAAAAAAATCGTTGTCCACTCTTGCCAATATCCTGAATTATGAGGCCGCAAAATAGTCTCCATTAGCAACTCCCCGCGTCCAGCAACCTGCTACTTCCAGAGAAAGTCTTGCTTCAGTGGGCACATCTCTTACTTGTTGGGAGGCTTGGAGAAGCATCTGGGATGATCTTGTTCCAGAACAAATTTTTCCCAGGTTGCCTCGGCTGAAAGTGCTGTTTTTTATTCCTGGGTGAGGGGCTATCTTATGTATCTTAATCCTGTGCAGCCTTGGTGACTCACCACAGCTCTTTGGGGCTTAGCTTTGAATTCCCTTGACTTTGAAGTTACAAACGTCAATCCTTCCACGTTACTTTACCTTCATTTCTGGAGCACTCGTGTGCATATCTAACCCCTGCGTGCACATGAGTATTCATTTGCCTGGAAGTCTTAAAAACGTTAATGTAAAATTGGGCTAGAATTCTACAGGCCAGACTCTGACCTCAAATATTAATCATGCCCGGGTAGCCAAGGGGAGCCATGGTCATTGTAAAGAGAAGGCATAAGCTCCCCCTGAAGCACAGTAAGGCAAACTAATCGAAATCAAACCCCCATTTTAAACCATTTCACTCATCAGCAGGCTGTTCATTTTTCTCAGGTGTACATCTTGTTTTTGATCAGACAGAAGCAGTGATCTGATCAACTTTTCGATGGAACAAGAAACCAAACAAGACATGGCCAAGTCACATCATGTTTCTCGAGTGGTTTTTGATAGAAATCTACTTTTTTGAATTCTGTTCTTGTTTATTCAAACATGATCTCAAAAAATGCTTTTTCTATCTCCCTCTTCTCCACCTCTACCTTCCTTCCCCCACCAACTCCCCTCCTTGCTCCCAGAACACTTTCTTATGTGCTGAAGAGTTATTTAAAGATGGGACCTGAAGTTCAACACTCTGGAGGGATCCCTTTTTAACTCTAGACCGTCCCCACCCAGAGGTCTTCGAGGGGGTCTCTGGAGTGCACCTGCTCTGTCAGAGCATGCCACATGGGTGCCCAGCACTGGGCCAGCATTAGTCAGCCCTGACTTGGGAGCAACAGTTGCAGTGTGGTCACCCTGCCCAGCTCCCCAGTGCCTTGACAACTTGGCTCTTGTCTATTTATTAAGCTCCTTCATTATGTCAAGGCCTGGGCCAGGTACTTTCATTTGTGATAGTGTATTTGATCTCAGTTAGTTCTTACAACAATCATGTGACTTAAGTGATATCACCATCTTCATTTTAGGCATAAAGATAACCGACCTAATAAAAGTTAGAGCTGAAATTCGAACCCAGCTTTTATGACTCCAAAGCTTATCTTTTTTTCCTCTGTATCTCACTGCCTCTAAATTACCATGCAGTTTCCTTCCAAGAAAATAAGACTTATACATAGGACAAGATTTTCTTTACTGGGGACAGAGATGACCTTACAGACCAATTGGTGTAAAATTTTAAATAATCAAATGATTTAAAAAAGGAAAAGAAACTAAAGTTGAGAGGCTATGTGACTTACCCAAGGTCACACAGCTATTGACTTGGATTTGTTTGCACTAATATTTGTACGGCACCATTCAGGATACCCTGCCCAGTCAAAGAGATGAAGGGACTATGCTTCAAAGTAAAAGGGATAAAGCCAAAGCCATATTACTCTTCCCTGGAGGGCAGTTACAAAGATTGCTAGATCCTACTATGTCTCATGCCCATAATATGGTCTTTCTACCACTTCTTCAATTCTCTATGGTTTATAATTTTGTTTTCTTACTGCCTAATTTGAGATTCTTTCTATGAATATGAAGAATAAAACAAAACAACAAAGTACCCACAAGTGCCCTGAAATATTTGAACAACTCTGAGCCTTTCTTTAGGTTTTCTTAGATTTCTATTAAACATGCCTCTAGCAATTTGTGAAAAAAGAACAGTCTTTCTTGTTTTATCTGGAGTGACCTGGTCTAGTTGTTTGTCTCAAAACAAGAATGAGGTGACCTCAAAACAGAGTATTACAGGCTGTAGCCATGTCCAGTGTTACTTGAGGGTAAGAAAGAGATAAAAAAGAACTCAATTATACTAGAGAGAGAGATTTCCATTCCTTCAGCAATTTTTTGCAAAAACAAAGTACCTATTAATGCAATGAAATACAGATCAGCAAACGGGTAAGGTATTTGGTTTGGGACTTTCTCATTGGTGTCTCCATCTAATGATTTGTCTCTTCACAGAATCTATCCTCCCAGGGCATCTACACATCAGGAGAACTAAAGGAAAAAGAAGTATTTCTTGGAATTAAGCCACATTTTAACCCTGGGGAAATATCTCCAGAAAGGAGAACAAGCAACATATGTGTGTTGGCCTAGTCCCCAGACCTGTCTCTATCCAATTCCCACCTTACTTTGTAAGGAAATGGGCCAAATCCGTACCACAAATACATTGAATTCGACTGGCAGTGATTTTGTCATTGTCAGCTCTGACCCTTGATCCATGAGTAGGTCAGCCTCCACCCCAACTGAGCTATGTCAGTGCAATGTTTGTTCATTTATTCACTCAATAAATGCCAAGCACCATTTTGTTGGGTGTTGGGGACATAGTAAACAAAATGGATAAAGATTTCTGCTCACTTTGTCAGATAAACAGAGAGGTGGAAATGAAAGGCCAGGCAATGATAAGCACAAGGACAGAAGGAAAGTGGTAAAGGAAGGTTCATAATGATAGTCAATAGATGAAGATGCCACTGGCACCTGGGCCAGCTTCTGTCTACCTGTTTCCCCTCCTCCTCACTGGCTGCTGTCTTCTCCACAATCCTCTTTGCCTTGGTCAACTGCGTCTCGGCCCAGAGATGCTCATCTTAAGAGAACTTCACTGAAATCATTTGTGTTCATTCTTCTGGACTGAGGTGTCCAACTGCTCCCAGCTTTTGTGTGGTGTCCATTTCCTTCCTCTTCCTTCTAGAATCTCTCACTCTGCTCCAACCCTTGAGCTCTCCTACATGGGCTTACATGTGTGTCTTTCTGATTCCCAACTCTCCTGGCTTTCTCTTCTATTTCCTGCCACAAAGCTTCCTTGTACTCGATGGTCCCTAATCTCTTCAGGGAAGAGTTTCCCTTTACTGTGTTTTTTTCCACACCTGGTTTTTGGAACCCCAGCAGTAGTCTGTAACTGTTACTTCCACAAACCTTGCTCTGGCATCTGTCTCCAGTCCTACATGAAAAGCCAAAGATGATTTCCAAATATCTTAAAGCAAAGAAGTAGCCATTTGTTAAGCACACATATACAGGTGCATCCACATATAGGTGGTGCTTTTATGAAGTCCTCACGCGAAAGAGCACAAGCCTGCCTGGGGCATAGTCCCCACAAAGCTTTGTTGTCCCACAAATTAAAATTCACTCACAGAACAATACTCCCAGGGAGATGGGACCGCCCCATGTATTCAGCCATAAGCCTAATGGGTTCTGAGTTTCCGTTAGTCCTTCCCCTCAACAATATCTTATGGCAGCCAGGGTCCTCAGGTTAATTATACCTTCCTACATTTAAAATAATTTCCTTTCTTAATCCACTTAAAATATGTGTCCTTCAGAATCAGAATGCTGCTCTCCCCATCTGGAGATGTCATATAACTAGATGCCTAAATGGATTTTCAGATGCACTAATTACTTTACAGCTTTCTCTGCCAGAGCTGCTGCAGTCACTGGCTCATCAGAGCCGTGGCTGTTGTTGCTCACTGGCACTGCTGTCCTGATGGCCTGGCTATGCTTGTTCCTTTTGGCTGTGGAACGGCTCTTCCCAGACAAGCCATTTATCTAACTCCTGGTATCCACAGACTTTAAGTCATCAGCTTTGGATCATTTCCAATGAACTACCAATATCCATCCTACTCTCCAGGAGAAAAAAAAACCTACCCTGTGATGGTTATTATTAAAAATTAGTAATAGATGTGTAAGCTTTAAATGAGTACATTTGTTCCTTGTCTTTTAACAAACATTATATTTTACATGAAAGTTAAATTGGAGTACTCCCAGTTACGTAGTCAACCCTGAATACACATGGATTCAGCTACCTGCCTTCATTTCATTTCTTTCTTTCTTTTTGAGATGGGCTGTCACTCCATCACCCAGGCTGGAGTGCAGTAGGGTGATCTCTGCCATTGCAACCTACACCTCCCAGATTCAGGTGATTCTCCTGCTTCAGCCTCCCGAGTAGCTGGGATCACAGGCACCCACCACAATGCCTGGCTAAATTTTGTATTTTTAGTAGAGATGGGGTTTGACTATGTTGGCCAGGCTGATCTCAAACTCCTGACCTTAAGATATCCACCTGCCTTGGCCTCCCAAAGTGCTGGGATTATAGGCATGAGCCACCGCACCCGGCTTCTGCCTTCATTTCGAGAGTAAGTTTATAATGGCCTGAATGTTTGCTTGGGCTTCTGCTCAAACCTTATCTGCAATCCCTGTGGCACTGCATCTTCCTGTGTTTAAACAGTAGATTTGAAATAAACAAGGATGGCACTACGACTGAAAAAGCAAAGAAAGAGAATTTGAGTCATTTCAGATTTGTCATTCTATGTGACCACTTGGAGTATTTATTTGTGTTTGATATTTAAAACAGTGAGTCAGAGTATAAACTGGGAGGTCTAATATTTTTGTTTGATAAGTGCCAATTTTAGTTTGTGCATAAAATGCCATGCTAAATCTGAACGATATCTTTAAAATTGAAATTTATTCATTTTGTTTTAAAACTAAAGTATGAATTAAGAAAAAAGGGTTTTATTAAAATTTATTAATTAGTTATTAGACAATGATGTACATTAAATATTATATCTGATTTTTATCAAATGATCCAAATTCAAACTATTAGGTATATATAAAACTGTAGAATAAATAGTTGTGATTTTTTTCTCGTTCTAGTAGGAACATGGAGGAACTTGAAACCATGACTGTATTGGCTCATAATTATTATGAATTTTGTAAAGAGATTTGAAGTGGGAACCCGACATAATGACATTGACTCAGTGAAGTTCAACAAAGATAATTATGAAACAAAACAAAACCAGAGGAAGTGACGCAACATCTAGATCTACTTTGAACTATATAGTGCCTTCAAAATCACATATAGCTTCATTTCATAATTGTCACTGAAAATAATTTTGTTGTACAGAGGAGGGAGGTGTTAAAAAATTATGTGTTCTAACTGTCAAATATGCTAGAGATTTCACCAAATTACTGTTGCTCTAGCATTTCCCTGCTTACTGGGAAAATGAGTGTCTTTTGTGTTTATTAAACATTCATGTTTCTTATTTTACAAAATGTTTGCTAAATCTTGTGCCTATTTTTCTATTGGGATTTATGATCAATCTGTACAAGTTCTTTATATATTCTTAGTATTAACCCTTTTATCCTCAAACATGAGTCTGTTCTTTATGTCCCCGAATTACCCTATCATGTATCAATATTTCGTGAGATTCTATAAGGCTATCTTTTTGTTCATGATTTTAAAATTTATTGTATTGTGGTTAAAGAACTTGGATTCTATGAGAGAAACTCCTTGAGATTCTGGATTTCATATTTCTTGTTAAATAGATTCTTTAGTTTTTATGCAATGCCCTTAGTTATTCTTAATAATATTTTTATTCCAGCCTATTTTGTCTTTTACTAATATTGTTAACACCAGGACTTCTGCTTCCCACCCAGATGGGGTAAGCAATGACTGGATTTACCTTCCTTCCTAAAAACAAACAAGCAAACAAAAAAGCAAATAATTTTCAAGTCACTAGATAGCAGATTATGAAGAATAATTTGAGGGATGGGAAACAAATGCAGTGAGCAATTGGTCTAGCTTAGGTCTTGATAGAGGTTCCAGGATGTGGAGCATGGAGGAAGAACTCAGGTAAAGTTTGGCAGACTCCCTGAATAAACAGAGCTCAAACTCAGCTGAAAACAGAGCTCAAAGTCAGCTGAGAACCAGGTGGCTGGGGTGCACAGGAGAGAATACTGAAAAGAAGGGAACTACAGAAAAGAACTCTGGCAATTGTAGAGGGTGCCGCTCGAGTATTCAGCTGAAGACTAAGTGCAAGCATGTGAGAAAAACCCTGAGGCTGAAGAAAGAGCCACTCAGAAAGGATTAGAAGGAACAGTAACCAGTGCTCACATAGGTCAAAGAATAGTTCCTTTCCCACCAGCCAAACTGGAAGGTTTTATGATTCATGGGTCTTTGGGTAAACTATTCCGAGGAATCTTTCCTCAGTGGTGGAGAATCCTTAGTGCTGCTCCACATACCACTCTGGTCCCTTTTAACAAAGATTAAAAGCAAAACCCAAGAGAGCCGGACTGTTTCAAAGTAACTTAACTGTATTCAAGAACAAAGCTCAAGACAATTTAAAAGAGTACAACATATCTAAGAACCAACAAAGTAAATGTGTAGTACCTGGCATCAGAAAAAAAAAAAAAAAGAAAAAGAAAATTATTTCATTTTTTTTCCAAGATGGCATTAGAGGCTTTTAACATGCCTCAGCCACTTGGAAATAGCAAGGTAGTGCATAAAAATTGACTCTGTGAGCTTTATTTCAAAATGGAAATGGGACACCCCAGATCCTGGGGAAGAGAACACCAGCAAAAAGCCCCCGTGAAGACATTCAGCTGATAAGAGTGAGTGCAGCCCCAGAACACGGGAGAGGCAGAGAGCTACCCTCCATGACTCACCTGTCCACTGGGGATCCAAGCCACCCAAGCCAGGGAGAAAACTTTGTTTCTCCCCAAGACCTAGAGCTAACTTGGGGACAGGCTTGGAGATCCTCAGAGGAAAAGACACTAGGAAAAGCTGCAGACATTTTCCCAGACTGGGAGCAGGAGCAGTTTTAATCTGGGCACACACAAAGTCATCATTTGGTAACGCAGCAGTGTCGCCATATAGACATTTTAATCTGAAGCCAGAGATCGGGAACATGTGCTTTGGAGCAGAGTAGGAGCCTCCATAGACATAGCTATGGAAAGCGCCTCAGCAGTAGGTGCTGGAATTGTGCCCCCGCACCCCATGTTACAAACCTGGGCCCAGTTTCTCCCGGGAAACGAGACTTGCAGCCAGGGCCAGCTTGGTGACCTGGAACCTGTCTGCATGTGTCCCTGCAGGGTGCTGAGGGAGAATACCTTCAGCAGTCACCGAGCACCCAGAGGTGTGCCTACATGTGGAGCTGGGAAGCCTCTTTGGCTCCAAGATCTTGGCCTGCTGCCCTGAGATCTTGGTGCGATGAGGCCCTATCTGCTCCACACTCAGGCAGATCTCCAGGCATTTGGGGCACCTACTCGCCTGGATGAGCAACCTGAGCTGCCCCACCGTTCCTACACAGAGATCCTGGTGCAGGGGGGCTCCTTCCACTCCATGCCTGGCAGATCACCAGGCATTTGGAGCACCCACTCAGTTGGACCAGCAGCCACTCCACCCTTCCTGTGCAGAGATTATGATGTAGCAGGGGCCTCTCTGCTCCATACCCATGCAGCTCTCCAGGCAGTCAAAGCACCCACTCACCTGGATTAGCAGCCTGAGCCACCGTATACGTTGTGGTACAGCAGGGCCCTCTCTGCCCATGCCTAGGCATGTCTCCAGGCATTCAGAGTAACAGCTCACTTGGATTAGCAGCCTGAAACACCTCACCCATCCTGTGCAGAAACCTTGGTACAGCAGGGCCTTCCATACTTCATGCCCTGGCAAATCTCTAGGTATCTGAAGCACCCAGTCTCCTGAATTAGCAGTTTAGGCCACACCCCCTCCCCATGCAGAGTACTTAGGGACAAGGAGGTTTCCCAGCTCCACATCTAGACACACGTCTGGGTGTTTGGTGGCTGTTCATTATATTCTCCCTCAGCACTGGTGCTTGTGCCATACCTGGTCCCTCCCCTTGCATTTTTGCCTCACCTGTACCCCTCTCCCCACTCCAGAGCTGAGCAGGGAACTCAGACCACTGTGTACTTCACAGATCAGCTCACTGCCTGAGGCAGCAGAGAGTTTCTCCCAGTAAACATGCATCAAGTATATACCCAGCCATATCTGCCACAGCTGGCTCTTACCCATAAGCACCATCTACTGGCTTGTAGGTTAGCCCAATATAAAACCTGCTGACAGAAGTGCATACAGCTATAAAAGCAAAACCAAGAGACCCTACCCAGCATTCTCTAAAGCCACACCCCCTGGTGGGGAGAAGGAAAAGGAAAATTTTAAAATAATAATAATATTACAGGGAAAAAATGAAAAAGAAAAAATCTTATCCACATAAAAATGGTTATAAAAGTTAGAATTGCCAGCATCTCCAAATGAGAAGAAACCGGCACAAGAATTCTGGCACTATGAAAAATCTGAATGTAGTAACACCACCAAAAGATCACACTAGTTTTCCAGCAATAGTCCCTAACAAAATGGAAACTCAGAAATGACAGACAAAGAATTCAAAGCATGGATTGCAAGGAAGCTCAATGAGATCCAGGACAAGACTGAAAATCAACACACAAAAAAACTTTTAAAGCAATCCAGGAAATGGAAGAAGAGATAAACATCTTTAAAAAAATAAATCAGAGCTTCTGGAATTAAAAAACTTACTTAAGCAATTTCAAAACACAATTGACAGCTTTATCAATAGACTATACCAAGCAGAAGAAATAATTTCAAAGCTTGAAAAACAGCCTTTTAAACTAACCAAGCCAGACAAGAATTTTTTTAAAAAAAGAAATTTAAAAAGCACACAAAGTCTTTGAGAAATATGGGATTATCTTTGAGACATATGGGATTATGTAAAATGACTAAACCAATGAATTATTGGCATTCCTGAGAGAGGAGAAAAAGTAAACAAACTAGAAAATATATTTGAGGGAATAATTCAAGAAAAGTTCTCTAATCTTGATAGAGCAGTAGACATCCAGATACAAGAAATCCAGAGAACATCTGGATTATACAGGTGTCCTGGAGATATTATACAAAATGAACACCCCCAAAGCATATAGTCACCAGACTGTCCAACATCAATGCTAAAGAAAAAATCTTAAAGGCAGCTAGAGAAAAAGGTCAGATCACGTACAAAGGGAACCCCATCAGGCTAACAGTAGACTTCTCAGCAGAAACCTTACAAGCCAGGAGAGATTGGGGGCCTATTTTCAGCATTCTCAAAGAAAAGAAATTCCAACCATGAATTTCATTTCCCACCAAACTAAGCTTCATAAGCTAAGGAAAAATAAAATACTTTCTAGATAATCAAGTGCTAAGGGAATTCATTACCACTAGACAAGACTTACAAGAGATCCTTAATGGAGTTCCAAACATGGAAATAAAAACACAATGCCTGATACCACAAAAACACATTAAAGTACATGGCCCACAGACCCTATGACGCAACCACACACTAGAAACTGCAAAGAAGCCAGCTAAGTTCACAATATGATCAAACCCTCACAATCTCAATATTAACCTTAAATGTAAATTGTCTAAATGCCCCACTTCAAAGGCATAAAATGGCAACTTGGCTAGGAAAAAAAAAAAAAAGACAAGACCCATCTATCTTTCTTGAAGAGACCCATCTCACTCACAATGACACCCACAAGCTCAAAGTAAAGCCTTTGATTTGTTGGAGAAAGATCTATCAACAAACAGAAAATTAAAAAGAGTGGGGTAATTATTCTCATATTAGATAAAACAGACTTTAAACTAACAACAGTAAAAAAGGACAAAGGGGAACATTACACAATGATAACAAGTTCAGTTCAACAAGAAGGCTTAATTATTCTAAATATAAACACACCCAACATTAGAATACCCAGATTAATAATAAAACAAGTACTTCTAGGCCTACAAAAGACTTGAACAGTTACACAATAATAGTGGGGGATTTTAATGCCCTACTGACAGCATTAGACAAATTATTAACATAGAAAATTAACAAAGACATTTTGGACTTAAATTCAACACATGAGCAATAGGACCTAATAGATATCTGCAGGATACTCCACCCATCAACCAAAGAATATACATTCTTATCTGCACACAGAACATAGTCTAAGATAGACCACATGTATGGCCATAAAGCAAGTTTCAATAAGTTCAAAAAAATTGAAATCATACCAACTATACTCTCAAACCACAGTGGAATACAAATAGAAATAAATATCAAGAAGATCTCTCAAAACAACACAATTAGACGGAAATTAAATAAATTAAGGCAGAAACAAAAAAATTACTTGAAATATTAAAAACAGATATACAACATACCAAAATCTCTGAGATGCAGCAGAAGCAGTGTTAAGAGGAAAGTTCATAACATTGAATGCCTATATCAGAAAGTTAGAAAGATTTCAAATTAATGGTCTAATGTCACACCTAGAAACGACAAGAAAAGAAGCTAGAGAAGCTAGAAAAACAATACCAAACTAACTTCAAAGTTAGCAGAAGAAAAGAAATAATTTAAATTGGAGCAGAACTGAAAAAAATTCAGACCCAAAATACCATATGAAGAATCACTGAAACCAGAAGTTGGTTATTCGAAAAGACAAACAAATTCAGTAGACTGCTAGCTACATTAAAAAACAACACAAAAAAGAGAATATGCAAATAAGCAGAATCAGAAATGGCAAAGGTGGCATTACAACCAACCCCACAGAAATATAAATGATCCTCAGAGACTATGATGAACACCTCTAGGCATACATACTAGAAAATCTAGAGGAAATGGATAAACTCCTGGAAACACACAACATCCCAAGATTGACTCAGGAAGAAATCAAAATCCTGAACACACCAATATTGAGTTCTAAAATTGAATCAGTAATAATAATAATGATAATAATAATAAAAACCTATCAATCAAACAAGCCACAGATGGATTCACAGCTGAATTGTACCACTACGGGCCAATATCCCTGATAAATATAGACACAAAAATCCTCAGCAAAATATTAGCAAAATGAATCCAGCAGTACATCAAAAAGTTAATTCACCACAGTCAAGTCGGCTTCATTTCTAGGACACAAGGTTGGTTCAACACAGGCAAATCGATAAGTGTGATTCACCACATAAGCAGCATGTAAAACAAAAATGTATGATCATTTCAATAGACATGGAGAAAGCTTTTGATAAAATCCAACATCCCTTTATGATAGAAATCTTCAAAAAACTAAGCACTGAAGGAACATACCTCAAAATAATAAGGCTCATTTATGACAAACCCACAGCCAACATCATACTGAGCTGGCAAAAGCTGAAAACATTTTCCTTAAGAACAAGAATAAGACAAGGATGCCTACTCTCACCACTCCTATTCAACAGAGTACTGGAAGTCCTTGCTAGAGCTATCAGGCAAGAGAAAGAAATAAAAGGCATCCAAATGGGAAAAAGGAGGCAAATTATCTCTCTTCACTGATGATATGATTCTATACCAAAAATCCCTAAAGACTCTACCAAAAAGCTCCTAGAACTGATAAATGACTTCAGTAAAGTTTCAGGATATAAAATCAATGTACAGAAATCAGTAGCATTTCTATACACCAGTAACATTCAAACTGAGGGCCAAACCAATAACACAATCCCATTTACAATAGCTGCAGAAAAATGAAGTATCTAGGAATACATCTAACCAAGAAGGTAAAAGATCTCTATAAGGAGAACTATAAAACATGACTAAAAAAAATCATAGATGATACAAACAAATGAAAAAAAAATATTCCATGCTCATAGTTTGGAAGAATCAATATCATTAAAATGGCCATACTGCCCAAAGCAATCTACAGATTCATTGTTATTTCTACCAAAGTACCAATGTCATTTTTTACAGAATTATGGAAAAATATTATAAAATTTATATGGAGTAAAAAAAAAAAGCCGGAATAGCCAAAACAATTCCAAGCAAAAAGAACAAAGCTAGAGGCATCTCATTACCTGACTTCAACTAATACTATAACGCTACGGTAACCAAAACAGCATGGTACTAGTACAAAAACATAGACGCATAGATCCATGGAACAGAGTAGAGACCCTAGAAATAAAGCCACACTTCTATAGTCATCTGATTTTTGACAAAGTAAACAGAAATGAGCAATGAGGAAAGGATTCCCTATTCAATAAATAGTACTGAGATACCTGTTCAATCATATCCAGAAGAATGAAGATAGGTGCCAACTTTGAACCATATGCAAAAATTAACTCAACATGTTTAAAATTTTAAAATACAACAGATACTGGTGAGGCTGTGGAGAAAAGGAAATGATTATACACTGTTGCTGGGAATGTAGATTCATTCTGCCACTGTGGAAAGCAGTTTGGAGATTTCTCAAAGAACTTTTAAGAGCTACCATTCAACCCAGCAATAACATTACTTGGTATATAAATATAGGAAAATAAATTGTTCTACCAAAAAGGCACATGCACTCATATGTTCATTGTGGCGCTATTCACAATAGCAAAGACATGGAATCAAGCTAGGTGCCCACTTCTTTTCTTTTTCTAATCCCATGGTAGATTAGATAAAGAATCCACCATGGGATTAGATAAAGAAAAGAAGTTCATATATGCCATAGAATTCTACACAGCCATAAAAAAAGAATGAAATAATTTCCTTTGCAGTAACATGGATGCAGCTGGAGGCCATTATCCTAAGCGAATTAATACAGGAACAGAAAACCGAATACCACATGTTCTCACTTATAAGTGGGAGCTAAGCATTGGGCAAACGTATACATAAAATTGGGAACAACAGGCATGGGGAACTGATAGAGGCAGAAGGGAGGCAGTGGACAAGGGCTCAGAAACTACTTATTGGGTACTCTTCTCACTACCTGGATGATGGGATCATTTGAACTCCAAACCTCAGCATCGTACAATATACTCATGGTGCATGCTGTAAGTAACCTGCACAGGTACCCCTTGAAACTCAAAAAAAAAGTTGAAATTATTTTTTAAAATAACAAAATTCAAGGCATGACAAGAAGTAGGAAAATGCAATTCAAAATGAGGATACCAATTGGTCAATAAAAACAAACTGAGAATAGCACACAAGTGTTAGAATTAGCAGAAAAGTCACTAAAACAATTATTATAACCATTTTATATTTTCACAAAGTTAAGTTAATGGATAGAATGTACATTATTCAGGTGATGGTACCCTGGAAGGTCTGACTTCGCCACTATGTATCTTTGCATATAACAAAATTGTGCAACTACCTCATAAAGTTATACAAAAAATAAATAAATAAACTATACCTAACAAAAAGTTAAGTAGAGTCATGGAAGATGAAAAAGATACACATTGAACTTCTATAAATGAAAACTACAATGTGTGAAATAAAGAATACACTGCATGTAATTAATGATAGACTAGAATTGCAGAAAATAATAGTGAATTTTAAAACATAGCAACAGAAACTATCCAAAATAAAATACAAAGAGAAAAGAAAAGGAAACAATGAACAAAGCATCAAATAACTAATTCAACCATTATATGCCTAATATATGTAATTGGAGTTTCTAAGGAAGAAGAGAGATGAGAGAACATATTTTTCAAATATCCTTTGAAGAAATAATGGCAAAAAAGTTCCAAATCTGAAAAAAACACTATGAACCCACAGATCTAAGAAGCTCAGCAAACCCCAAGCACAAAATACATGAAGAAAATTACACCAAAGCACATTATAATTAAAGTTTTTTAAAACCAATGTTAAAAAAAAAATCTTAAAAGTATCCACAGGGGAAAAAATTATATATAGGGAAGGAAAGAAAGATGACAACAAATGTCTTATCATTAACAAGGCAAGCAAGAGAGTGGAGCAACATCTTTAACATACAAAAATTAAAAAACAAACAAACCACCAGTCCACGATTCTAAGTCCAGAAAAAAAAATCTTTCAAAAATAAAGGTGAAATAGAGATTTTCACAGACAACAACATGGACAGAATTCATTACCAGCAAACTCATAAGAAATGCTACAGGATATTACTCAGACAAAAATAAAATGATATCTGACCAAAACATCAATCTACACAATGGAATGGATAAGTAAATGGATAAATATGTAAGATTTTCTTTCTTTAAGAAACTTCTTTAAAAGATAATTGACTATATTAAAATTGACTATTAGTAAATGAATAAATATGTAAGATTGTCTTCCTTTAAGAAACCTCTTTAAAAGATAATTGACTTCTAGAAGAAAACATAGAGAAAAATTTTGAATTATGCAAAGATTTATTATATATGACACCAAAAGTATGATCCTTAAAAGAAAAAAAAACCAGATAAATTTATCTTTATTAAAGGTTTAAAAATCTGCCCTAAAAATGCCACTAAGACAATGAAAAGACAAGCCACAGACTAGGAAAATATATTCGCAAAACATGAAGGACTTGTACGTAGAATACAAAAACTCAAGACAGTTGTTTGGGTGGCCTTGGACTGACCTAGTTTTCTCTTCTTTCTTTCTTGTAGTTCTCAAGAATAACTGTTGAATGTTTTGGGAATGTAGTATCCTTAGAGAGGGGAGAACTGCCTGAAGCAGCCTAGGTTTTGTTCCTATTCATCATCTTTGGATATGTAATATCTTAACTTAGGGAGGAACTCTCTGGGACAGCCTGGTCTTTGTTCCTTCTTCCTCTAGAAGCAGGATGTCCTTCAAAGCTTCACTTGATAAGGCACATGGTTCCTGAAGTATATAATCAGGGGTGTGCTGCCCTTTGGGGGTCCCACCCACAGTCAAGACCTTATCCACTTTGGCCAGCTTTCTTGATCCTTTGGGGACCAGTTCACAATGGATCTGAGACTTCTTCTGTCCCTTGCTGTTTATCTTTAAGTAATAAACCCCTTTACATAACTCGTTGCATGTGAGTGTATTCTGTCTCACCAAACTCAGACAAATAAGTCACCCATGCATGGTGGACATTAGCAGTAGCCCATGATGCCATGGACATAAGTATAGGGACATCCGTTTCTGGTAGTTGGCATAATGATGATCTTTGCTATCCTCCACGAAATGGGAATCTTCTTTTGGTATTGGTAATTATCAAAACTGTTTTACAATAAGAACTCTCAAAACTCAACAATAAAACAAATAACTAAATAAAGAGCAAAAGATTTGAACAGACACTTTACCAAAAAATATATATATAGATGGCAAACACACACACACACATACACACATACACACACACACGAAAAGATGTTCAAGATCATTTGTTCCTAAGGACACAATAAGATACCACTATACACATATTAGAATGACTAAAATTAACTGACCATACCAAGTTGAGAGGTGACAGCGTGCTGGCAGTCCTCACAGCCCTCTCTCGCTCTCGGCGCCTCCTATGCCTGGGCTCCCACTTTGGCGGCACTTGGGGAGCCCTTCAGCCCACCGCTGCACTGTGGGAGCCCCTTTCTGGGCTGGCCAAGGCTGGAGCCCACTCCCTCAGCTTGCAGGGAGGTGTGGAGGGAGAGGCGCGAGCGGGAACCGGGGCTGTGTGCGGCGCTTGCGGGCCAGCTGGAGTTCCGGGTGGGCGTGGGCTTGGCGGGCGCCGCACTCGGAGCAGTCAGCCGGCCCTGCTGGCCCCGGGCAATGAGGGACTTAGCACCTGGGCCAGCGGCTGCGGACGGTGTACTGGGTTCCCCCAGCAGTGCCAGCCCACCGGCGCTGCACTCGATTTCTCACAGGGCCTTAGCTGCCTTCCCGCGGGGCAGGCCTTGGGACTGCAACCCGCGGTGCCTGAGCCTTCCCCCACCTCCGTGGGTTCCTGTGCAGCCCGAGCCTCCCCGACGAGCGCCGCCCCCTGCTCCACGGCGCCCAGTCCCATCGACCACCCAAGGGCTGAGGAGTGCGAGCGCGTGGCACGGGACTGGCAGGCAGCTCCACCTGCAGCCCCAGTGTGGGATCCACTGGGTGAAGCCAGCTGGGCTCCTGAGTCTTGTGGGGCCTTGGAGAACCTTTATGTCTAGCTCAGGGATTGTAAATACACCAATGGGCACTCTGTATCTAGCACAAGGTTTGTAAACACACCAATCAGCACCCTGTGTCTAGCTCAGGGTTTGTGAGTGCACCAATGGACACTCTGTATCTAGCTGCTCTAGTGGGGCCTTGGAGAACCTTTGTGTGGATACTCTGTATCTAAGTAATCTGATGGGGACGTGGAGAAACTTTGTGTCTAGCTCAGGGATTGTAAAGGCACCAATCAGCGCCCTGTCAAAACAGACCACTGGGCTCTACCAATCAGCAGGATGTGGGTGGGGCCAGATAAGAGAATAAAAGCAGGCTGCCCGAGCCAGCAGTGGCAACCCGCTCGGATCCCCTTCCACGCTGTGGAAGCTTTGTTCTTTCGCTCTTTGCAATAAATCTTGCTACTGCTCACTCTTTGGGTCCACACTGCTTTTATGAGCTGTAACACTCACTGCGAAGGTCTGCAGCTTCACTCTTGAAGCCAGCGAGACCACGAGCCCACCGGGAGGAACGAACAACTCCAGAGGCGACACCTTAAGAGCTGCAACACTCACTGCGAAGGTCTGCAGCTTCACTCCTGAGCCAGCGAGACTATGAACCCACCAGAAGGAAGAAACTCCGAACACATCCGAACATCAGAAGAAACAAACTCCAGACGCGCCACCTTAAGAGTTGTAACACTCACCGTGAGGGTCCGTGGCTTCA